>NC_000001.11:210911859-211063374 GCF_000001405.40 Homo sapiens | reverse complement strand
TCTACTACCAAATCCTCTTTATCCGTTAACCATCTCCTCTTTATTCCACCCAGCCTGCCACCACTACTATCATTCCTAGACTCTGGTAACGGTAATTCTACCCTATCTTCATGAGTTTAATTATTTTTTTGGGCCCCCACATGATTAATAACATGAGATCTTTATCTTTCTGCGCTTGACTTATTTCACTGAATAGACTCCACTTCCATCCATGTTGTTGCAAAGGACAGGATTTCATTCTTTTTTATGGTTGAATAATATTCCATTGTGTATGTGTACCACATTTTGTTTACCCATTCATCCATCGATGCACACTTAGGTTGATTCCATATGCTGGCTATTGCGAATAGTGCTGTAATAAATATGGGAAGTGCAGATATCTCTTTGATGTACTGATTTATTTCTTTTGGGAATATACCTAGCAGGTGGGATTGCTGGATCATATGGTAGCTCGATTTTTAGTTTTTTGAGGAATCTCCAAATCGTTCTCCACAGAGGTTGTACTAATTTCCATTTCTAACAAGAGTTTATGAGGATTCCCTTTCCTCCACATCCTCACCAGAATTTGTTATTGCTTGTCCTTTGGATCAAAGCCATTTTAACTGGGGTTACATGATATCTCATTGTAATTTTGATTTGCATTTCTCTGATCAGTGATGTTTAGCATCTTTCACATACCTCTTTGCCATTTGTATGTCGTCTTTTGAGAAATATCTATTTAGATCTTTTGTCCATTTTAAATGAGATTATTAGCTTTTAACTTATAGAGTTGTTTGAGTTCCATATATTACTATGGTTATTAATCCCTTGTCAGAGGGATAGTTTGCAAATATTTTCTCCTATTCTGTAGATTGTTTCTTTGTTGATTGTTTCCTTTGCCATGCAGAAGATTTTTAACTTGATATGATGCTATTTGTCCATTTTTGCTTTGGTTGCCTGTACTTGTGTGGTATTACTCAAGAAATCTTTGCCCAGTCCAATGTATTGGAGAGTTTCCCCAATGTTTCTTTTAGTGGTTTCATAGTTAGGTATTAGATTTAAGTTTTTAATCCATTTTGATTTGATTTTTGTGTTGGGTGCAAGATAGGGGTCTAATTTCATCCTTCTTCATATGGATAATCCAGTTTTCCTGGCACCATTTGTTGAAGAGACTGTTCTTTCCCCAATGTATGTTTTTCATACCTTTGTCAAAAATGAGTTCACTCTAGAAGTATGGATTTATTTCCGGGCTCTCCATTCTATTCTATTGGTCTATGTGTCTGTTTTTATGTGAGTACCGTGCTATTTTGGTTATTACAGCTTTGTAGTATAATTTGAAGTCAGATAATGTGATTCTTCCAGTTCTGTTCTTTTTGCTCAGAATAGCTTTGGCTATTCTGGGTCTTCTGTTGCTCCATATAAATTTTAGGATTAATTTTTGTATTTCTGTGAAGCATGCCATTAGTATTTTAATAGGGATTGCATTGAATTTGTAGATTGCTTTGGGTAGTTGGATATTGTAATAATATTGATTCTTCTAACTCATGGGCATGGAATACTTTTCCTTTTTTGTGTGTGTCCTCTTCTATTTCTTGCCTCAATGTTTTGTAGCTTTCATTGTAGAGAAATTTCACTTGTTTGGATAAATTAATTCACAGGTATTTTATCTGTAGCTATTGCAAATGGAATCGCTTTCTTGATTTCTTTTTCAGATTGTTTGCTCTTGGTATATAAAATGCTACTGGTTTTTTGTATGTTGATTTTCTATCCTGCAACTTTACTGAATTTGTTTATCTGTTCTAATAGTTTTTTTAATGGAGTCTTTAGTTTTTTCCAAATTTAAGATTATGTCATCTGCAAACAATGACTTCTTCCTTTTCAATTTGGATGTCCTTTATTTCTTTTGCTCTGGCAAGGATTGAATCTGATTGCTGTAGTTAGGACTTCCAGTACTATGTTGAATAACAGTGGTGAAAATGAGCATCCCTGTCTCATTCCAGATTTTAGAAAAAAGGCTTTCAGTTTTTCCCCATTCGGTATTATACTAGCTGTGGGTCTGTTTTATATGGCTTTTATTGTGTTGATATATGTTCCTTCTCTATCTAGTTTCTTGAGGTGTTTATTTTTAATCATGAGGCATATTGAATTTTATCAAATGTTTTTAAGGTGTCAGTTGAAATGATTGTATGTTTTTTGTCCTTCATTCTGTTGATATGCAGCACACTGATTAATTTGCATAATTTGTTGAACCCCTTGCATCCCTGGCATAAATCTCTCTTGGTCATGATGAATGACCTTTTTAATGCGTTATTGAATTCAGTTTGCTAGTATTTTGTTGAGGATTTTTGCATCAATGTTCATCAGGGATATTGGCCTGTAGTTGTCTTTTTTTGATGTATCTTTGTCTGATTTTGGTATCAGGGTAATACTGTCCTTGTAGAATGAGTTTGGAAGTATTTCCTTCTCCTCTATTTTTTGGGATAGTTTGAGTAGCATTGGTATTAGTTCTTGTTTATGTTTGGTAAAATTAAGCGTGAAGCCATGGAATCCCAAGCTTTTCTTTGATGGGAGACTTTTTTATTATGGCTTTGATCTCATTACTTGTAACTGGTCTGTTCAGGTTTTGGATTACTTCATGGCTCAATCTTGGTAGGTTGTATATGTCTAGGAATTTACCCATTTCTTCTAGGTTTTCCAATTTATTGGCATATAATTGCTCATAGTAGCTTCTAATGATCCTTTCTATTTCAGCAATATCCATTGTAATGTCTCCTTTTACATCTGATTTTGAGTCTTCTTTCTTTTTTTTTAGTCTAAAGTTCTGTTGATTTTTTTCTTTTCAAAAAACCAGCTTTTATTTCATTTCTCTTTTATATTGTTTTTCCTGTTTCAATTTCATTTATTTCTATTCTGATCTTTATTATTTCTTCTACTGATTTTAGGCTTGGTTTGCTCTTGCTTTTTTATTTCTTTTTTTTTTTTTTTTTTTTTTTTTGAGACGGAGTCTCGCTCTGTCGCCCAGGCTGGAGTGCAGTGGCGCGATCTCGGCTCACTGCAAGCTCCGCCTCCCGGGTTCATAAGATGCATCATAAGGTTATTTATTTGAAGTTTTTCTGTTCTTTTGATGTGGCATTTATTGGTATAAACTTTTCTCTTAGTAGTGCTTTTGCTGTATCCCATAGGTTTTGGTATGTTATGTTTCCATTTTCATTTGTTTCAAGAAATTTTTCAATTTTCTTCTTCATTTCTTCATTGACCCGCTGATCATTTAGGAGCATATTTTTAAATTTCCATGTGTTTGTATAGTTTCCAAAATTCCTCTTGTTATTGATTTCCAGTTTTATTCTCTTGTGATCAGAGAAGATACTTGATATAATTTAAATTTTTTGAACATTTTAAGACTTGATTTGTGGTCTAATTTATGGTCTTTCCTTAAGAATTATTCATGTTCTGAGGAGAAGAATGTGTATTTTGCAGGTGTTGGATGAAATGTTTTGTAAACATTTGTTAGGTCTGTAGTGTAGATTAAATCCCATGTTTCTTTATTTTCTGTCCAGATGATCTGTCCAGTGCTGAAAGTGAGGTGTAGAAGTCTCTAGCTATTATTGTATTGGGAATCTCTCTCTCTCTCTCTCTCTCACTCTTTTTTTCTTGAGATGGAGTCTCGCTCTGTCGCCCAGGCTGGAGTGCAGTGGCGCAATCTCGGCTCACTGCAAGCTCCACCTCCCGGGTTCACGCCATTCTCCTGCCTCAGCCTCCCGAGTAGCTGGGACTACAGGTGCCCACCACCACGTCCGGCTAATTTTTTATATTTTTTAGTAGAGACGTAGTTTCACCGTGTTAACCAGGATGGTCTCGATCTCCTGACCTCATGATCCACCCGCCTCAGCCTCCCAAAGTGCTGGGATTACAGGCATAAGCCACCGTGCCCAGCCCCAGGAATCTCCCTCTCTCTTTAGCACTAATAATATTTGCTTTACATATATGGGTGCACTACCATTGGGTGCATATGTATTTACAATTGTTATATCCTCTGGCTAAATCGACTCTTATCATTTGACTCATTTATCATCATTAATGACTTTCTGTCTCTCTCTCTCTATTTTTTTTTTTTTTGAGATGGAGTCTCGCTCTGTTGCCCAGGCTGGAGTATAGTGGTGTGATCTCAGCTCACTGCAACCTCCACCTCCCAGGTTCAAATGATTCTCCTGCCTCAGCCTCCTGAGTAGCTGGGAGTACAGGCACATGCCACCATACCTAGCTAGTTTTTTGTATTTTCAGTAGAGACAGGGTTTCACCATGTTAGCCAGGATGGTCTTGAACTCCTGACCTCATGACCCACCCACCTCAGCCTCCCAAAGTGCTGGGATTACAGGCGTGAGCCACCGCACCTGGCTGACTTTTTCTCTTTTTATAGTTTTTGTCTTGAAATCTATTTAGTCCGATATAAGTATAGCTGCTATTCCTGTTGTTTTTTAGTTTCCATTTGCATGGAATATCTTTTTCTATCCCTTTATTTTCAGTCTGTGTGTGTCCTTCTAGGTGAAGCATGTTTCTTGTAGGCAACAGATTTTTGAGTCTTGTTTATTTTTAATCCACTTAGTTACTCTGTGACTTTTGATTGGAGAGGTTAGTCCATTTACATTCAATGTTATTATTGGTAAGTAAGGACTTCTGCCATTTTGTTGTTTTTCTGGTTGTTTTGTGGTCTTCCTTCTTTCATTTCTTTCTATCTTTTCATGAAGGTGATTTTCTCAGGTGGTGGGTTTTATTTTCTTGCTTTTTTTTGTGGATGTATTGTATGTTTTTTGATTAGAAGTTACCATGAGGCTTGGGAATAATATCAGCCATTATTTTAAGTTGATGACAACTTAATGTTGATTGCATAAACAATCAAGAAAACAGAAAACTGATAAAAAAGTCTGCACTTTAACTTCATCCCCTGCTTTTAAACTTTTTGTTGTTTCTATTTATTTTATTGTACTGTCTTAAAAAATATAGCTACCATTTTTTATTGGTTCAACTTTTAGTCTTTCTACTCAAGATATTAGTTTATACACCACAATTACAGTTATAATATGCTGTGCTTTTCTGTGTACTTACTATTACCAGTGAGTTTTGTACCTTCAGATAATTTCTTTTTGCTCATTAATATCCTTTTCTTTCAGACTGAAGGACTCTCTTTAGTGTTTCTTGTAGGACAGTCCTGGTGTTGATGACATTCTTCAGCTTTTGTTTGTCTGGGAAAATATTTATTTTTTCTTCATGTTTGAAGAATATTTTTGTTGGATATACTATCATAGGATAAGAAATTTTTTCCTTCTCTATTTTAAGTATGTTGTGACAGTCTCTCCTGGCCTATAAGGATTCCACTGAGAAGTCTGCTGCCAGATATATTGGAGCTCTTTTGTGTGTTGTTTCTTTTCTGTTGCTGCTGCTTTTAGGATCCTTTCTTTATCCTTGACTTTTGGGAGTTTGATTATTAAATGTCTTGAGGTAGTTTTATTTGGGTTGCTTGGTGTTCTGTAACTTTCCTGTACTTGAATATTAATATCTTTCTCTTGATTTGGAAAGTTCTGTGTTATAATCCCTTTAATAAACTTTTTTTTTCGGATCTGTCGTCCCATCTCCTCTTTAAGGCCAATAACTTTTGAGACTATTTTGTAGTTCGTGTCTGTCTCTCTCTCTCTCTCTTTCTTTCTCTCTCTCTCTGTCTTCTTTGTTTTCTGTTTTCTTCTTTCTTTTTCTCATTTTTTTGGGACAGGGTCTTTCTCTGCCACCCAGGCTAGAGTGCAGTGGCACAATCATGGCTCACTGCAACCTTAACCTCCTGGGCTCGAGCGATCCTCTCACCTCAGCCTCCCAAGTAACTGGGACTACAAGCAAACGCCATAATACCCAGCTAATTAAAAAAATTTTTTTTTGTAGAGATGGGGTTTTGCATGTTGCCCAGGCTGGTCTCGAACTCCTGGGCTCAAGCGATCTGCCTGCCTTGGCCTCCCAAAGTACTAGGACCACAGGCATGAGCCACTGTGCCTGGCTTTTAATTCCTTTTTCTTTTTGTCTCCTTTGTGTATTTTCAAATAGCCTGTCTTCAAGCTCACTGTTTCTTTCTTTTGCTTGATCAGTTCTACTATTAAGAGACTCTGATGCATTCTTCAGTATGTCAGTTGCATTTTTCAGCTCCAGAAATTCTACTTGATTCTTTTAAATTATTTAATCTATTAAGTTTATCTGATAGAATTCTAAATTCTTTCTCTATGTTATCTTGAATTTTGTTGAGTTTCCTCAGTAGGTATTTTGAATTCTTTCTTTGAAAGGTCACATATCTCTGTCTCTCTGGGATTGGTCACTGGGTGCCTTACTTAGTTTGTTTGGGTGAGGTCGCATTTTACTGGATGGTCTCGATACTGGTGGATGTTCATCAGTGTCTGGGGATTGAAGAGTTTGGTATTGCAGTTTGAACCCATCTTTCTTGGGAGGGCTTTCCATGTATTCAAAGGGATTTGGGTGTTTTGACTAAGTTTTTGGTTACTGCAGCTGTGCCTGCATAAGGGCACACCCCAAGCTGTGGCTCTTGCAGACTCGTAGAGGTACCACCTTGGTGGTCTTGAGTGAACTTCAGAAGAATTCTCTGAATTACTAGGAAGAGATACTTATTCTCTTCCCTTATTTTCTCCCAAACCAATGGAGTGTCTCTTTCTGTGCCGAGCTACCTGCCCCTTTCAGATGGGTGACACAAGCATCCCTGTGGCCACCAACACTGATACTGTACTAGGTTAGACCCCAAGCCAGCACAACACTGGGTCCCACCCAAGGCCTACAGTGACCCCCTGCCTGGCTATTGCTTATGTTCACTCAAGGCCCAAGGGCTCTACAATCAGCAAGTGGCAAATCCAGGCAGGCTTGTTTCCTTCTCTTCAGGGCAGTGAGTTTCCCCCATCCTTGGATGGGTCCAGAGATACTGTCCAGGAGCCAGGGCCCGGAGTCATGAACCTTAGGTATCTACCTGGTGCTTTATTCTATTGTAGCTGACCTGGCACCCAAGCCATGAGACAAAGTCCTTCCCACTCTCCCCTTTTCTCAAGGCTTGTAGCCACCACCACCCTAGGCCCCTTGGCAAGTACTGCCTGGCTACTGCCGATGTTCACTCAAGTCCCAAGGGCTCTTTAGTCAACTTATGGTAAATACTGTCCATCCTGAGTTTCTCCTTTAGGGCAGTGGGTTCCCCTCTGTCTTAGGGCAGGTCCAGGGGCCAAAGCCATGAATCGGGGATCCCAGGAGCCTTCTTGGCACTCTACCCTACTGTGACTGAGCTGGTACCCAAACTGTAAGATGAAGTCTCCTTTCCTCTTCCCTCTCCCTTCCTCAAGCAAAAGGAGACTCTCCCCATAGCCACCACAGCTGGATATGTTCTGGGTCACACCTGAAGCCAGCATGGCTCTGACTCTTACCCAAGGCCTGGGGTGAGCACTGCCTGGTTACCATTCCTGATTTTTCAGGGCCCAAGTCTTCTGTAGTCAGCACATAGTGAAGCCTACCAGGACTGGGTCTTTTTGTTCAAGGCATCAGGTTCCCTTCTGGCCCATGGTGTGTCTAGAAGTGTTGTCCATGAGCTAGAGCCCAGAATGGGGGGGCCCCAGAACTTTGCCTGGTGCCCTATCCTACTGTGGCTGAGCTGGTATCCTAGTTGCAAGACAAAGTCCTTTTTACTCTCCCCTCTCCTCAAGCTGAGGGAAGGAGTCTTTCCTGGAGCTGTGAGCTGCGCTGTCTGGGGTTGAGGGAGGAGTGACTCAAGCACTTCCTTGGCCATCCCAGCTGGTATCTTACTGGGTCACATTCACCCCACACTCATTATCTTCGAGTCCAGCACAGCACCAGGACTTGCCCAGGAATTATAGTCCTTGTGGTCTAGACTGCCTTTTAAGCTTACTTAGCATCACAGAGGACTTTGGCTTGCAGTGGCATGGCTTGTTGGAACTTAGGTTCTGACTACTGGGATGAATGATTAGCCTCTGGTTGGGGCTGGTCTGAATTCTCCCTCCATGGGTACCAGCTGAGCTCTGCCCCATGTTACTTTCCACTGACAGGGCAGCACTGTGTTCCAATGCAAAGTCCCACAATCACTGTGTTTTTCCTCCCCTAAGTCCCTGGATTCTCTCTCCATGCCAAGTGGCCATTGCTGGGGATAGGGGAGGGGTGGTATAGGCAATTTACAGCTGTCTTTTCTACCCTTTTCAGTGCCTTTTTATATGACGTTGAAACCAGGTACTATGATTGCTCACTTGATTTTTTTGGCTCTTACGTAGGTGCTTTTTTTGTGTGGATAATTGTTCAATTTGGTGTTCTTGTGGAGGGGGTTATCGCTGGAGGCTTCTATTCTACTGTCTTGATGTGGCTTCCAATCTAATCTTTTTATGGTTCTTATTCTTACTGATATATTTGGAATATGCCTGCTATTATTCTGGTATCTAATTTGTGTTTTGTTTATCTGCTTTCTCCCCCTCCATTTCCACCATCCCTTCCTTTCTCTCTCCTCCCTCTTTCCCTTTTTATCTCCCTTCCTCTTTCCTTAATTTCCACTCAATGTTATTTTTATTTTTTTCTATTGGTTTCAAAGGTATACATTCTATTTTTGTTCTTTTATAGATTACATTTGTATATTTTTAACAGCATATACTCATTTTGAAGCTAATAACTTTAACTGCTTCTAGCGCAAAACAAGGACCTCAGTATTTAGAGTATTTTAACTCTAAAGTACTGTCATACATACTGTTATCTAGCATTTTAGTTTTTTCTTATTTTTAACTTCCTTATTGGCCGTTATTTTTCTATTCCATAGCTAATATCTAATTTGATTTATCAATATATATTTTACCATTTTGTTTGGTCATCATAGATTTTGTATTTCACAAATTTTAGTTTCCTTCTTGCTGAAGTATATCCTTGAGTAGCTCTTTCATAGAGTCTGAGAATAATAAATTCTTTTAGTCTTTTCATTTCTACATATGTCATTATTTATTCCGTCTCTCTGAAATCATAGCTTAACTGAATATTTTAGAATCATATGTTCATTGAGATTTTTGTTTAATTTTAATTTTTTTTTTCTTTTTTGAGATGGAGTCTCATTTTGCCACTCAGGCTAGAGTGCAGGGACGCCATCTTGGCTCATTGTAACCTCTGGTTCCCAGGTTCAAGAGATTCTCTTGCCTCAGACTCCTGAGTAGCTGGGATTACAGGTATGCACCACCACGCCCAGCTAATTTTTTTTTTTTTTGTATTATTTTTAGTAGAGGTGGGGTTTCACCATGTTGGCCAGGCTGGTCTTGAACTCCTGACCTCAGGTGATCTGCCTGCCTTGGCCTCCCAAAGTGCTGGGATTACAGGTGTGAGCCACCATGCCCAGCCAAATGTCTATCTTTTTATTTCTGGAAATTCTGTGTAGTTATTTTTCAAATCTTCCTGTTCTTCAAAAATAATGTCTTATTCATGTCTGCTAACATTGCTCGTTTTTTATTGCTTCAGAATTTAGGCACACCTTAAATCCTCTCTCTTGGTGTTTAATTTCCTCTTGTGGTAAGCTTATCTGCAACTGGAGTTTTTTGGTGGGAGTCCATTGGGTCCCCAGTTGATGAGGCATCTGATTGTGGTGGTTAAGTTGAGTTTATCAATGTCACAAACTATGGTTTCGCCTGGTTCAGGCCAACTTTTCTGTAAGAGTTTTAGCCTTGGAGCTGCTAACTATGAAAGCAGTGTAAATTCTGACTCTACCCAGGCATGGCACAGACTTGGGGTTCTGATTTTTTACAGATAACCCTTTTTTCTACCAAAAGTTCTAGATAGATGATGAGTTTCCTTTTTATATCTTTGAGATATGGAATAGAGATTTTCTGTTTTGTGTTTCTCCATCAGGGCAGCTCCTTGTCGCTCCAGCAGGAGCTTGTGGCCTCCCCTCATGTCTCCTATAGTGCATAACTGGTTCCGATAACCCCTGCTTCTGAAAAACTCTTGGTCTGTTTGGTTTCAGCTCTCATTGGCTGCACTGGTTTGTATTTCTGTTATGTTTCAATGTGTTTGGTAGAAATGGACAGTTTACTTGCATTTACTTAGTCTACTCTACTGCCTGATAACTCTTTAAACACTCATGCTCTTATGAATAGGATAGATTACTAGAAGTGAAAGTAAGGAGGCAGGATGTGAACATTTAAAACTGGGTAGAAAGTGCTGAAGTTGAAAAAACAAGGTTGGGCCAGTTTACACTGCCTATCTAATCACAAGAGCCATTTTCTTTCTTCCCTCACCATTAGCAATGCTATTAATTGTTTTACTCAATCTTAAATTTTAACATATAAATAAAAATTTAAAGGGAAATTATCTATTTTTTTATGAACTACACAAAGATTTGGTCTGGTAAATCTAGAGGATGCTTTCCTTACGTGCCTGAGAGTACAGCTTTCAGCCATCCATCTGTAGGATGTGCATGAGGAGCGAGATGGCCATGAGCCAGTCACCTCTACAGGCAGCTGGACAGATACACAGAGAATTAAAGTTGTGATGAACTTTACTTATTGAACACATGCACAGTCAGGCTTGCTATACACATTTTCTGGTGATGAGTGACCTGCGTGCTGCTGTAGTAGAGCTGAGGCCATACCCAAATCCTTAGTTTCCTGGTCCTAAATCCAGTAGCACTGGTGGAAGCTGCTAGGATTTCCATGAGCAAAAAATGTTACCCCTTTTTCTAGAAAGAAGCTCCCTTGTTTGCCAATCTCTAAAATTGAGATTTCCTATTCTTCTCTTTAACTTTTTTGGGTGTTGGCTTCATTTGGCTCCTCAGACTAGGGGAAAAGTGATAACGCTGAAATGACTCCTCACTATGTGGATCTGTGGCTTTGGAGAAGAAAGTCACTTTGGCAACAGGAGCTTCTACTGTAAGTACCTGGGTTTTGAGCAATGTTGCCTCTCATAAAGAGTCTTTTAAAATACTCACAATGATCTCAAGGTGGGCAATATGGCTGTGACTGTAGGTTGTAAGTGTGCTATTACTGGGGTGTTTTGGACGACCGCTTCATGGTACATTGAAAATGAGCTTGGGTAGTGGCCGAACCAGTGCATGGCCTTCCTGTTGCCTTCCAGCCCTAAAGGCTGGCCTGTGCACATGGGGGCCACGGAATTCCGTCTGATCAGCTCTCTCTTTTCTGAGGCTGGGATTTTGTGGAAGGGTATTCTCTGCTTTTTCCCTAGGAGGGCTGTTTTGTGTATGTATTTATTATGTTTTAATAAACTTTGTTTACTTAAGTCAGGCAGGGGAGAACTCAACTGTTCAATGATGCCAGGGATCAACTCTGCACTTGATTTTGGTGAAAAAGTAATAAATGATTAGCTGAAATCAGGTTTAGGGATTTTCTGCATTTTTTTTTTCTTTTTCTTTCTTTAGAGACAGGATGACGTAGTGCAAAGAGAGAGATTTGGAGTCAGACTGACCCGAATCCTCCTCCAAAGCTCCACTACATTCCAGCTGTGTGACTTTGTAAAAGTTACTTAGCCTCCCTAATCTTTCCTCATTCTTATGAAATAAGTATAATACTACTTATCCTAAGAGATTGTTGTGAGGATTTGTGATTCTTTTAAAGACAACTCTGATTTTATTACTCCTTAAAAATCCTTTAATGTCTTTTTGTTGCCTCTTTGGATAAATTTAAATTTTACATGGTGACTTACAAGACCAAACTCACCTCTCTAGCCTCAACTAGCTGCACTCCCCTTTGACCTCAGCATCAGCCAGGAGGCACTTATGTCTGTCAAACACTCTCTCTTGACGCTGGGCCTTGGAACATGCCCTCCATTTGCCTGGAAGCTCTTGCTCCATCTGTTGGCTGGGCTACTTCCTACTCTTCAAGTCTCAGTGTAGATCTCACATGTGCTCTTTGAGGCCTTTCCAGCTGCTCCTACCCCACTCCAGGTAGGCTTCCTCTTAGAAGCTGTCCTTGCCATGTGCACTTTCTACTTTGAGTGTTCATGACACTGGGAAAGCTTTGGTTTCAGGTTTGCCGCCTCCATTAGATGAAGGGCCCACACAGGCAGAATTAGTGTCTCTCAGCCAGGCATGGTGGCTCACGCCTGTAATCACAGAACTTTGGGAGGCCGAGGTGGGCAGATCACCTGAGATCGAGAGCTTGAGATCAGCATGGCCAACATGGTGAAATCCCATCGCTACTAAAAATATAAACATTAGCCAGGTGTGGTGGTGCACACCTGTAGTCCTAGCTACTTGGGAGACTGAGGCACGAGAATCACTTGAACCCGGGAGGCGGGGGTTGCAGTGAGCCGAGATTGTGCCACTGCACTCCAGCTGGGGTGATGGAGCAAGACTCTTCTCTCAAAACAACAACAACAACAACAACAAAACAAAAATATTAATATCTCGGTTGTTTACTGTTCTCTCTCCCATCGAACACAATTCTGACACATAGTAGGTACTTGATAAATGTTCATTGAATGAATGAATGAGAAAAGGAAGCAATCACTTGGTTCAGTGCAGACCCTTGGTAGGGACCTCAGTAAATGTCATTTTCTTTTCACATTAACTCCTTCCTCTGCTCATGTCACCTTTCTACCTTGATCATGGATAATGGAAAACTATTCATGACTGACTTGATTATGATAGCAACATTTCTGTGACCCAGCCTCACCACTAATTCTTCATCATATTGAAATAAAAAAATACAACTGAAGATTTCAAGATTAAAAGTTAAAAGAATACAACTGAAGTATTTCTCAACAAAATAGGAAGAAACCGAGATTGTTACCCAGTTGCATTTCAGCGTGGGATTGTATTTGTGACGGTGTCATGTGGGTTGGTCCTGGACTGTAGTGTAAAGCGTATGGTTAATACTTTTAATTGCTTCCCACTGCCCTTACCTCTTCCATTAAAGAACAAGTGCATCATGGAAAAAGTCCTAAAAATAGCACCTGCCTGGTTTATGGAGAAGGGTGTTTATGACGGGAATTAAGACGTTGTTTAGCTAGGGATGTCTGAAATCCCAAATCAGGCTTTGTTTTGTGACTAGAGCGCCACCCCAGCCTTGTTAGCATCAAGCTGTCCTTTTTTTTTTTTTTTTTTTTTTTTTTTTTTAAGAATGTGTGGGCTGAGTTTGTCCTCACTTTGTAGTCATAAAAACCCAAGTCGTTTCTAAACAGGGAAGCTTTTTGGAACTCTATGGAATGGAAAGAAACACACATATAGGTGCTGGCATGGGTGTACCTAGAGTAATGGTTTAGAGGACCAAGGTTTCTTATCACCCTCAGAGGGAGATGTTCAGGCAGTTGTAGATGATGGTGATGGTGGTATTTATGGAGGGTGCTCTACTTGTGTCCTTAAATGACCAGTGAAGCCAATTTGGTGGCAAGTGGTGAGCACTCTGGGACCAGTGTCAAAGAGAAAGTTCTCTGTGTTTGACTCTGGTTTCTTCTGCTGCCACTGTCCAGGGAGATGACAGCTGATACTCCTGAGAGATGGGGATCTTGAGGCTGCAGGTACTGGCGACCCTTGTTAGGGCCCATTCTGGCCATAGTGGATTGGCCAGGTCTTCAAGCTCTCAGGAAAACTTGGAGTTTGTTGACAATTTTGTCTAATGTTACTCCCCAGTTCAAGCCTGTGTCTTTTCTTTCTGGAATCCTGCAGTGGTCTTGTAGCAGGCCTCCTTGCCTCCATACTGGCCCCTTCCAGGCCCTCCTCCACACTGCTGCCCAGTTACCTTCATCAAGAGCACTTTGACTATGAAACTATCTTACTTAAAAGTTCTTACCTGTGCATCAAGGGCACATCAAGTCCTGCTCTCCCTTAATTCAGCTTTATCACCCAGTATTGCCCTCTCTAGTCCCCCAAAACACAATGACAACAACAACAAACCAAAAAACCCCCTATGTTTCAGCCACACCACATTCCTGTCAAGTAAGCTCTTGTACTGCCTTCCTTTACACATCTGAGCTTTTGCACACACAGTTGGTTTGCCTAAAATGCCAGACATATGTGAGTGTTATCTGCCTTGTGGCTCATCCTTTAATGGAGATC
Organism: Homo sapiens; assembly: GCF_000001405.40. Classification (NCBI taxonomy): domain Eukaryota; kingdom Metazoa; phylum Chordata; class Mammalia; order Primates; family Hominidae; genus Homo; species Homo sapiens. Next base: position 211,049,321 of record NC_000001.11, on the reverse strand, counting down.
TTGACAATCGCTTTAAAATCTAAGCCTTTTCTGACCACCTAAGTCAATTTGTTTTCTCTTTTCCCTTGTTGTTAAAGTACTTTTACATATGCATTTCCTACCACTTGTTGCATTATATTTTAATAATTTGTTTACACATCTCTCTTCTGTTCTAAACTGTGGGTTCCTTGTGGGTCCATTTTCATGTCCAGCTCTCCATCAGATATTCAGTTAATGGCTGTTTTTATTAGACTCCAGGTTTTATAGAACTGATGGAGTTTGTGAGGCTACTTTATTTTTTTTTTCTTCAAATAAATGAACTTTATCAGTCTCCCTTTCTTCTTAGTCTATTTCAGTTCTGCTTTTCTTGGTCTCTGATCCTTGAGGAAGCTAAGTACTTTCTGGACTACCCCAATTTTAGGCTTGAAACTTCCTGATTCTCATCCGGAATCTCCTGAAGTAATATTTTTCTTTATTTGCACAAAACTATTAGTTTTTTAAATTTCAATAGTTTTTGGGGAACAGGTGGTGTTTGGTTACATGGACAAGTTCTTTAGTGGTGATTTCTGAGGTTTGGTACACCCATCACCTGAGCAGTGTACACTGTGCCCAATGTGCAGTCTTTTATTCCTCACTCCCCCATTATTCCCCACTTGTCCCCAAAGTCCAATGTATCATTCTCATGCCTTTGGATCCTCATAGCTTAGCTCGCACTTATAAGTGAGAACATACGATGTTTGGTTTTCCATTCCTGAGTCACTTCACTTAGAATAATGGTCTCCAACTCCATCCAGGTTGCTGCAAATGCTGTTATTTGGTTCCTTTTTATGGCTGAGTAGTATTCCGTGGTATATGTATATATGTATATACACCACATTTTCTTTATCCATTTGTTGACTGATGGGCATTTGGGCTGGTTCCATATTTTTGCAGTTGCGAATTATGCTGCTGTAAACATGCATGTGCAAGTGTCTTTTTCATATAATGACTTACTTTCCTCTGGGTAGATACTCAGGAGTGGGACTGCTGGATCAAATGGTAGATCTACTTTTAGTTCTTTAAGGAATCTCCACACTGTTTTCCATAGTGATTGTACTAGTTAACATTCACACCGGCAGTGTAAAAGTGTTCCCTTTTCACCACATCCATGCCAACATCTATTATTTTTTAATTTTTAAATTACGGGCATTCTTGCAGGAGTAAGGTAGTATCGCATTGTGGTTTTGATTTGCATTTCCCTGATAATTTGTGATGTTGAGCATTTTTTAATATGTCTGTTGGCCATTTGCATATTCTTTTGAGAGCTGTCTATTCATGTGCTTAGCCCACTTTTTGATAGGATTATTTTTTCATATGTTTTCATTTTTTTCACATTTTTTGGCCATTGTATATTTTTTCATATGTTTGTTGGCCATTTGTATATTCTCTTCTGAGTATTGTCTATTCATGTCCTTAGCCCACTTTTTGATAGGATTTTTTTTTTCCTTGCGGATTTGAGTTCCTTGTAGATTCTGGATATTAGTCATTTGACAGATGCATATTTTGAGAATATTTTCTCCCACTCTGTGGGTTGTCTGTTTTTACCCTGCTAATTATTTCTTTTGTTGACATAAGTATTAGTTTTTGAATACTGCTTAACCATTCACAAGAATGTACACACACACACACTCACTTGTATCTATATTCTGATTTGATCTTCATAGTATCTCTCTGGTCTATGTGGTATTAGCTTCATTTTTCAGGTGAGGAAACTGAGGCATGGAGATCTTGACTTGCTCAAGGTTGATCAGCTCTGAAGCCAAGATTGGAGTTTCCAGGCTGAGACTTTGCCAGGTTCGGCTTTCAAAAGCCGCACCTTGATGAACTTACTGTGTTTTTAGCCCTCTCTGTAAGCGTGTCCCCACCATCCCTTCATTTTCTGATATGGCCTGCCCATTCCCCACCTCCCTGTCTCACGGTTTTGCATGTACACACATGCCTGCGTTCACATTTTTTACTTCATTATTTTGTTGTTTAATATGTATATAGTTGATCCATTACAAATCTATGTCTGAGACCAATGCCTATATTTGTTTAAGTTAGTTCAGGATATTCGTGTGGTGTAGTATAACTTCATGGTTTAGACCTGTGCTGTTCAGTGTGGTAACCACTGGCAATATGTAGCTATTAAGCAATTGAGATGTGGCTTGTCTGAATTGAGAGGTATACTAGGTGTGAAATGCATATCAGATTTCAAACTCAGTATGAAATAAAGAATGTAAAACATCTCACAAGTGATTTTACATATTGATTACCTGTTGAAATGATATTTTAGATATATTACATTAAATTATTGGATTAAAATATTAAATTTTACTTGTTTTCTTTTACTTTTTTTTGTGGCTGCTAAATCATATAAGACTCACATTTGTGGCTTGCATTTTATTTCCATTGGTTAGTATTAATTTAGACTATGGGTTTTTGAATTAGATGTGGGTTTGAATTTCATCTTCACCACTTAATTAGCTTTGTGCAACTTAAGTTTTGGGCAACTTAACCTCTCTTGAATAACTTTTCCTTGTCTATAAAATAGAGACCAATATTTACCTTGCATGGTTGTTATAAGGATGAAATTGTATTTTGTATGTGAGGTACTCAGCCTGGAACCTGGCATGAGAGCAGAGGGGTTTAAAGCATGGACCCTGGAGTTAAACTTGGCAAAGGTTTTAACACTTGGCTGCACCCTTAAAACCTTTGTGGCCTTGGACAAGTTACTTTTCTAAGCCTTAGTTTCTTCTTATAAAATAGGAATGATAATAGTAGGTACCTCATAGAGTTGTGAAAATGAAATGAACTAAATATAAAGGGCTTATGAGGTCAGGGTAGGGCATGTAGTAAGTACTCAGTAAATGATAACCAATGCCATAACACCCTCGCTCCTGGGGAAGGGCATCTGCTGGAAACTTTCATGCTATTACATGGTCTACATGGACTCTTGCTTTTATTTTTATTCTTCAAGGAAGGTACACATAATTAGAATATGAACCTAGAACATAACATATCCGTTCTTGTCTATATCATGATTATAATAGTATTTTAAGAATGTTCTTGATATTATATTTTTGTCAAGAATTGTACAGAGGAATTAAAATCAGGCTCTTGAAGAGATAGCTGCACTCCCATGCTCATTGCAGTATTATTCACAATAGCCAAGACATGGAAGAAACCTAAATATCTATTGATAGCTGAATAAAGAAAATGCATTATTTTGTATATTTGTTATATTACGTGAATAAAGAAATAGGGTGTATAACACTATGGAATATTATTCAGTCTTACAAAAGAGTCAAATCCTGCCATTTGTGATCATATGGATGAAACTGGAGGACGTTATGCTAAGTGAAATAAGCCAGACGCAGAAGGACAAATGCTGCATGATAGCTCTTGTATTATTAACCCAAAATAGTCAAACTTAGAGAAGCAGAGACTAGAATAGTGATTTCCAGGGACTGCGGGGAGGGCAAAACAGGGAGATATTAGTCAAAGGGCACAAAGTTTCACTTATACAAGATACATAAGTCCTAGAGATATATAGTATAGCATAGTGACTATAGTTAATAATATTGTATACTTAAAAATTTGCTAAGAGGGTAGAACTTATGTTAAGTGTGTTTATCAGACAATAATAAAGAGGACAGGAGGAAACTTCTTCTGGAGTAATGGAAAGGTTTATGGCATAGATTGTGGTGATGGTTTCCCAGGAGTATACTTATCTCCAAATTCCTCAAGTTGTATACATTAAATAGGCACAGCTTTTTCCATTACAATCATACCTCAGTAAAGTGGTTTAAAAATAATTATATAATTATTTGGATCTTTTTATTTAGCTGCTTCTTTGGCTTAATTTGTTCTTCAGCTAATTCTTTTTTTCTTTTTAATTTTTTTATTTCCATAGGTTATTGGGGAACAGGTGGTGTTTGGTTTCATGAGTCAGTTCTTTAGTGGTGATTTGTGAGATTTTGGTGCACCCATCACCTGAGCAGTATACACTGGACCCAATTTGTAGTATTTTATTCCTCACTCCCTTTTCACCCTTTCCCCGGAGTCTCCGAAGTTCATTGTGTCATTCTTGTGCCTTTGTATCCTCATAGCTTAGCTCCTACTTATAAGTGAGAGCATACAATGTTTGGCTTTCCATTCCTGAGTTACTCTACTTAGAATAATAGTCTCCGATCTCATCCAGGTTGCTGTGAATGCCATTAATTCATTCCCTTTTTATTGCTGAGACCACTATTCTATTATTCATATATATATATATATATCCCCCACAATTTATCCACACATTGATTGTTGGGCATTGGGTTGGTCCCACATTTTTGCAATTGCGAACTGTGCTGCTATAAATATGTGTGTGTGCAAGCATCCTTTTTATATAATGACTTCTTTTCCTCTGGGTAGATAACCAGTAGTGGGATTGTTGGATCAAATGGTAGTTCTACTTTTAGTTCTTTAAGGAATCTCCACACTGTTTTCCATGGTGGTTGTGCTAGTTTACATTCCCACCAGTAGTGTAGAAGTGTTTCCTTTTCACCACATCCATGCTGACATCTACTATTTTTTGATTATGGCCATTCTTGCAGGAGTAAGGTGGTATCACATTGTGGTTTTGATTTGCATTTCCCTGATTGTTAGTGATGTTGAGCATTTTTTCATATGTTTGTTGGCCATTTGAATATCTTCTTTTGAGAATTGTCTATTCATGTCCATAGCCCACTTTTTGATGGGATTAATTTTTTTTTCTTGCTAATTTGTTTGAGATGTTGTAGATTTTGGATATTAGTCCGTTGTCAGATGTATAGATTGTGAAGATTTTCTCCCACTCTGTGGGTTGTCTGTTTACTCTGCTGACTGCTCCTTTTGCTGTGCAAAGGCTCTTTAGTTTAATTAAGTCCCAGCTATTTATCTTTGTTTTTATTGCGTTTGCTTTTTGGTTCTTGGTCATGAAATCCTTGCCTAAGCCAGGGGTTAAAGGGGTTGAGTTCTTGATTTGGTTCTCCACTTGGTCGCTGTTGGTGTACAGAAGAGCTACTGATTTGTGTACATTAATTTTGTATCTGGACACTTTACTGAATTCTTTTATCAGTTCTAGGACCTCTTTGGAGGTGTCTTTAGGGTTTTCTAGGTATACAATCATATCATCAGCAAACAGTGACAGTTTGAGTTCCTCTTTACCAATTTGGATGCCCTTTGTTTCTTTCTCTTGTCTAATCGCTCTGGCTAGGATTCCAGTACTATGTTCAAGAGAAGTGGTAAGAGTGGGCATCCTTGTCTTGTTCCAGTTTTCAGAGGGAATGCTTTCAACTTTTCCCCATTCAGTATTATGTTGGCTGTGGGTTTGTCATAGATGGGCTTTTATTACATTAAGGTATGTCCCTTGTATGCTGATTTGGCTGAGAGTTTTAATCATAAAGGGATGCTGGATTTTGTCGAATGCTTTTTCTGTGTCTGTTGAGATGGTCATATGATTTTTGTTTTTAATTCTGTTTATGTGGTGTATTGCATTTATTGACTTGTGTATGTTAAACCTTCCCTGCATCCCTGGTATGGAACCCACTTGATAATGGTGGATTATCTTCTTGATATGTTGTTGGATTTAGTTAGCCAGTATTTTGTTAAGGAGTTTTGCATATATGTTCATCAGGGATATTGGCCTGTAGTAGTCTTTTTTGGTTATGTCCTTTCCTGGTTTTGGTATTAGGGTGATACTGGCTTCATAGAATGATTTAGGGAGGATTCCCTCTTTCTCTATCTTGTGGAATAGTGTCAAGAGGACTTTGAATGTCTGGTAGAATTCAGCTGTGAATTTGTCTGGTCCTGAATTTTTTTTTGTTGGTAATTTTTTTGTTACCATTTCAATCTCACTGCTTGTTATTCATCTGTTTAGGGTATCTAATTCTTCCTGATTTGGGCTAGGATGGTTGTATCTTTCCAGGAATTCATCCATCTCCTCTATGTTTTCTAGTTTATGTGTGTAAAGGTGTTCATAGTAGTCTTGAATGATCTTTTTGTATTTCAGTGGTGTCAGTTGTAACATCTCCTGTTTCGTTTCTTAGTGAGGTTATTTGGATTTTCTCTCTTCTTTTCTTGGTTAATCTTGCTAATGGTCTATCCATTTTATTTATCTTTTCAAAGAAACAGCTTTTTGTTTCATTTATCTTTTTGTTTGTTTGTTTCAATTTCGTTTAGTTCTGCTCTGATCATGGTTATTTCCCTTCTTCTGCTGGGTTTGGGTTTGGCTTGTTCTTGTTTCTCTAGTTCCTTGAGGTGTGACCTTAGCTTGTCTTATGCTCTTTCATACTTTTTGATGTAGGCATTTTGGGCTATGAACTTCTGTCTAGCACCACCTTTGCTGCATCCCACAGGTTTTGATAGATTGTGTCACTATTGTTGTTCTCTTGAAGTTTTAAATTTCTATCTTAATTTTTGACGCAATGATTATTCAGGAGCAGGTTGTTTAATTTCCATGTATTTGCATGGCTTTGAAGGTTCCTTTTGGAGTTGATTTCCAGTTTTATTCCACTGTGGTCTGAGAGAGTGCTTGATATAATTTCAATTTTCTTAAATTTATTGAGGCTTGTTTTTGTGGCCTATCATATGGTCTATCTTGGAGAAAGTTCCATGTGCTGATGAATAGAATGTAAATTCTGTGGTTGTTGGGTAGAATGTTCTGTAAATATCTGTTAAGTCCATTTGTTCCGGGGTATAGTTTAAATACATTGTTTCTTTATTGACTTTCTGTCTTGATGACCTGTCTAGTGCTGTCAGTGGAGTGTTGAAGTCCCCCACTATTATTGTGTTGCTGTATATCTCATTTCTTAGGTCTAGTACTAATTGTTTTATAAATTGTTGAGCTAATTCTTCATTCAAGTGACTTTTGTTCAACACTATATGCCAGGCCTTGTGTTAAGGACCAATTTTGTGATGGTAAGTAGAGAGACAAGCACTTTGTTTTCATGGGGCTTATGATCTAGTAAGAGAGACATCTATAAACAAGTAAAAAAATAGATAGATGTATTACAATTCCTGATGAGTATAATAAAAATCCTGTTGATAAATAGAAAGTAACAGAAGAAAGAAGTGGGTGAAGAATCTATTTGAGAGAGGGTGTCAGGGAAGGCTTCTATAAGGAGATGACACTTAATTTGAGACCTAAAAGTTGAGAAGAATTCACCCACATGGAAAGTAGGAGAGGAGCATTCTGAGCTCCCACAGAGCAAGAGTTGGTGTCTTTGCAGAAAGCCAGTGGGTGGGCCAAGTGCACTGACTCATGCCTATAATCCCAGCACTTTGGGAGGCTGAGGTGGGTGGATCACTTGAGGTCAGGAGTTCCAGACCAGCCTGGCCAACATGATGAAACCCCATCCCTACCAAAAATACAAAAATTAGCTGGTCGTGTTGGCATGCATCTGTAATCTCAGCTACTCAGGAGGCTCAGGCACGAGAATCACTTGAACCCGGGAGGCAGAGGTTGCAGTGAGCCAGGATCATGCCACTGCACTCCAGCCTCGGCCACAGAGTGAAACTCCATCTCAAAAAAACAACAACAAAAAAGCCAGCGGGTGGAGTATGCTTGGTGAAGTCAGAAGGGTTCAGATTAGGTAGGAAAGATAGGCAGGGGATTGTAGGTCACAGCAAGAATGTAGATCTTATTTGAAGTCTGATGGAGTCTGATATAAAGAGCTGGAAGGTTTTGATCAGGGAAGTGACCTGATGGAATACAAGTTGATGTATGATATGTGAATTTGAGGAGGGCAAGAATGAAAGTAGAGAGAGCTGAAGCTGCTGCCATGCTGTTGTGAGACAGGATGGTACATTGAATATAGTTGTAGAAGTGAGTGAGAGGTAGTGAATGGCTCCTGAGTTATATTTATTTGGTGGTAGAAGCAACAGAACTCCCTGTGATAGATTAGTTCTGGAGGTTTGCTTGAAGGGGGAGCTAAGCTGCACATCTTTGTGGTACCAGAGCAAGAGAGAGTGGCATTAGGAAAGCCAAGCAAGGAGAGTGAGAAGGAAGAACTGTGCATGCTGCTGAGAGGATGAAGTAGATCAGGATGGAAGAGTACACTGGATTTAGTAACACTAACCTTAACAACAGCTATTTCCTTAGCAAGTGGAGGCAGTAGTCAGATTGGGATGCGTTGGAAGGTGATTTGAGGTGAGAAAGTGGAGACATTGTGTTTAGACTTCCCTTTCAAAAAATCTGGCTATAAAGGGAAATAGCAAAAGAGCTGTAGCAAGAAAGTTGAGTTGATTTATGTCTAAAGATGTTGATGAATTGATTTTGTATTCAAAGAGAGGTTGATGGGAAGAAAAAGGAGAGGATCACAGGTTGAGGGCTTGGGTAAAGCATTTGAGGAGGTGGGAAGATGAGGCTCAGAGCACTTGGGAGGAACTGGCCTTTCACAGAAGAAGGCACTTCCTCTGTTGAAACAAGATGAAGTAGGTAGGTGAGGATGGAGGCTGATTTGTAGATATGTGACCATTGGAGGATGCAGGAGTCTCTCTCTGGTTCCGTTTTTTCAGTGATTCCTAAGGCAAAAACATGAGTTAAGAGTGAGGTGTAGCAGGGAATAAGACTTAAGAGCTTAGAATAAAATATTATGATCTCTGACCATTCTCTGCAAAAATCACTTTGCATGATGATATTTACTGGACACGAAAAATTTTCAAGGTGTGTTAGTCTGTTTTCATGCTGCTGATAAAGACATACCCAAGACTGGGAAGAAAAAGAGATTTAATCAGACTTACAGTTCCACATGGCTAGGGAGGCCTCAGAATCATGGCAGGAAGTGAGAGGCACTTCTTACTATGGTGGCAGCAAGAGAAAATGAGGAAGAAGCAAAAGTGGAAACCCCTAATAAACCCATCATCAGATCTCATGAAACTTATTCACTATCACGAGAATAGCTCAGGAAAGAATGGCTCCCACAATTCAATTAGCACCCCCTCCCACACATGGGAATTCTGGGAGATACAATTCAAGTTGAGATTTGGATGAGACACAGCCAAACCATATCATTCTGCTCCTGGCCGCTCCAAGTCTCATGTCCTCACATTTCAAAACCAATCATGCCTTCCCAACAGTCCCCCGAAGTCTTTTTTTTTTTTTTTTTGAGACGGAGTCTTGCTCTGTTGCCCAGACTAGAGTGCAGTGGCACGATCTTGGCTCACTGCAAGCTCTGCCTCCCAGGTTCACGCCATTCTCCTGCCTCAGCCTCCCAAGTAGCTGGGACTACAGGCGCCCGCCACCACGCCCAGCTAATTTTTTGTATTTTTTTAGTAGAGACGGGGTTTCACTGTGTTAGCCAGGATGGTCTCGATCTCCTGACCTCGTGATCCACCTGCCTCAGCCTCCCAAAGTGCTGGGATTACAGGCGTGAGCCACCGCACCCAGCCCTGAAGTCTTAACTCATTTCAGCATTAACCCAAAAGTCTACAGTCCAAAGTCTCATCTGAGACAAGGCAAGTCCCTTCCACCTATGAGCCTGTAAAATCAAAAGCAAGCTAGTTACTTCCTAGACACAGTGGGGGTACAGGTACTGGGTAAATGCAGCTGTTCCAAATGGGAGAAATTGGCCAAATCAAAGGGGTTACAGGGCCCACACATGTTTGAAATCCAGCGGGGCAGTCAAATTTTAAAGCTTCAAAATGATCTCCTTTGATTCCAGGTCTCACATCCAGGTCACGCTGATGCAAGAGTTACGTTCCCATGGTCTTAGGCAGCTCCGCCCCTGTGACTTTGCAGGGTACAGCCTCCCTCCCATTTGCTTTAATGGGCTGGCGTTGAGTGTCTGTGGCTTTTCTGGGTGCACAGTGGAAGCTGTTGGATCTACCATTCTGGGGTCTAGAGGATGGTGGCCCTCTTCTCACAGCTCCACTAGGCAGTGCCCCAGTAGGGACTCTGTGTGGGGTCTGACCCCACATTTCCCTTCCACATTGCCCTAGAAGGAGTTCTCCATGAGGGCCCTGCCCCTGTAGCAAACCTTTGCCTAGGCATCCAGGCATTTCCATGTATCTTCTGAAATCTAGGCGGAAGTTCCCAAACTTCAATTCTTGATTTCTGTGTACCTGCAGGCTCAACACCATGTGGAAGCTGCTAAGGCTTGGGGTGTCCATCCTCTGAAGCCACAGTCTGAGGTGTATGTTGGCCCCTTTCAGCCACAGCTGGAGCAGCTGGGACACAGGACACCAAGTTCCTAGGCTGCACACAGCACAGGGACCCTGGGCCCAGCCCATGAAACCACTTTTTCCTCCTGGGCCTCTGGGCCTATGATGGGAGGGGCTGCCATGAAGACCTCTGACATTCCCTGGAGACATTTTCCCCATGGTCTTGGGGATTCATATTAGGTTCCTTGCTACTTATGCAAATTTCTGCAGCCAGCTTGAATTTATCCCCAGAAAATGGGGTTTTCTTTTCTATCACATAGGCTGCAAATTTTCTGAACTTTTATGCTGTTTCCCTTTTAAAACTGAATGCCTTTAACAGTATCCAAGTCACATCTTGAATGCTTTACTGCTTAGAAATTTCTTCCCCCAGATACCCTAAATCATCTCTCTCAAGTTCAAAGTTCCACAAATCACTAGGGCAGGGGCAATATACCAGCAGTCCCTTTGCTAAAACATAACAAGAGTCACCTTTGCTCCAGTCCCCAACAAGTTCCTCATCTCCACCTGAGACCACCTCAGTCTGGATCTTATTGTCCATATCACTATCAGCATTTTGGGCAAAGCCATTCATCAAGTCTCTAGGAAGTTCCAAACTTTCCCACATTTTCCTGTCTTCTTCTGAGCCCTCCAAACTGTTCCAACCTCTGCCTGTTACCCAGTTCTAAAGTTGCTTCCACATTTTCGGGTATCTTTTCAGCAACACCCCACTCTACTGGTACCAATTTACTGTATTAGTCCGTTTTCATGCTGCTGATAAAGACATACCTGAGACTGGGATGAAAAAGAGGATTAATTAGACTTACAGTGCCACATAGCTGGGGAGGCCTCAGAATCATGGTGGCAGGCAAATGCAGCAAGAGAAAATGAGGGAGAAGTGGCTGGGTGTGGTGGCTCATGCCTGTAATCCCAGCACTTTGGGAGGCTGAGGCGGGCAGATCACGAGGTCAGGAGATCGAGACCATCCTGGCTAACACGGTGAAACCCCGTCTCTACTAAAAAATACAAAAAATTTAGCCAGGCGTGGTGGTGGGTGCCGGTAGCCCCAGCTACTCGGGAGGCTGAGGCAGGAGAATGGCGTGAACCTGGGAGGTGGAGCTTGCAGTGAGCCGAGATCACGCCACTGCACTCCAGCCTGGGCAACAGTGTGAGACTCCATCTCAAAAAAAAAAAAAAAAAAAGAGGGAGAAGCAAAAGTGGAAACCCCTGATAAATCAATCAAATCTCGTGAGACTTATTCACTATAATGAGAATAGCAGGGGAAAGACTGGCCCCATAATTCACTTACCTTCCTTTGGGTCTCCCCACAACATGTAGGAATTCTGGGAGATACAATTCAAGTTGAGATTTGGTTGGGGACACAGCCAAACCATATCACAAGGTATGGTCTTGCTCTCCTACTCTAGTTAGGTGTAGTTTGGGGATTAGGGTAGGTACTCTTAAGAGAGACAGGCTCTGGCCGATGTGCCTGGTTTTGGATTTAATTGGGAAGTCCTGGAGAAGGTCCACAGTGGGAGATGGTGCCTTTGACCAGGAGCTGGTTGCATAAGATGACAGGAAGGCATGTTGCTATCATTCAGGGGTTCTGTAGAAAAACAGTAAGTTATCAAGAGTCTGTGTACAGTAAAAAAAAAAAAAAAAAAAAAAGCACTGAATTAGGAAACTGGACTTGAGCGTACAGTCCTGTTTTGTCATCTGCAATGTGATTGTGAACAAATAGTTTACCTTCTGGGTCTATTTTCCTAATTTGTAAAATAAGCAAAATACCAGCCTTCCCATTGCATGAGATGTGATGATGTATGTCAGTGTGCTATGAAAAATATTTCACGCTGTGCAGATGGATTAGTGAAAAGGCTCAGAGGCTTGGAGCTGGTGGCCTTGCTTCTACTCCCAGCTTCTCTGCTTACTCACCCCTTGCATGACTCAGGGTGAGTCATGTCACCTCCATTATTACAAAGCCTCCATTTTCCCATCTGTAGAACTCCCTCACAGGGTGGTTATAAGGATTTAAAAATACAATAGAGGACTTTTGGAAGTAAAAATGCTAGAGAAATGTGATAGGTTAGTCAGTCTGATTTCCCTATTTTTCATCAAGAGAAAAACCCTTTTTTCCTTCCAGAATCAGTCTTCAAGATGAGCATTGTTTGACCCCATAAATAATGGCCTTTAATGAGCACTTCCTCTGGACAAAGCCTGGCATTGGATGTTGTAGCAGGAGAGGATTAGGGAGAGTGTGGACTAGTGACATTATCCTAGGAGAAGTAGCATCTGCCTTTGGGGAACTCCCAGTCTGACTGGGGGAATAGGACAGACACAAGCCTCTCCTAGGAAGCTTCCATTGTACAAGACTAATCAAAGGAAGACAATAGAAGCACATGCTCATACTGACAAGGGCAGAAAAGAGGTGAGGGAGATTATTGACTGTACTGTAGTCACCAGGATCACCAAGACCAGGTTATTAAGCCTAATTTCTCCGCAAAGCTTCTGAAATCTCATTGAGCGTCTAACATAGGGCATGCTTCTATGACTGGACAAGGTCTGTATCCTATGCATTGTGACTCAGTGCCCAGAGATTCCTTCCCTTTGGAGGACACTAACCTCTTTCCAGATAGTTATATCCTGAATGATCCTGAGAAAGCTTTTTGTGCTGAGGGTGGAGATCACAGGCTCATGGTGAAACTTGCCCAATTGTCCTGTAGAACTTATGTTTTTGGTTTCTTTTCAAGAAACATAGAAATTGACCGTCCCAGTCTTAAAACTTAAGAAAGTTACATTTGTCCTATCTGAGTCCTTTTCTCAGGAAACCAACCATCAGGCCTCCCAGATAGTATCAAGGAGCTGAAACTCACCAGAACACTGCATCTGGACAATGAGTTGCCAGACCTCTCACCCATCATGATTGCCTAACCAACCACCTGCTTTTTGATGGCCAACTCTTCTTCCCTACCCCTCCCTAATTCCTGTTTACCCACATGTAGCTACATTCCTTCCCCACTACATAAACCCCCAATTTTAGTTGGTCAGGGAGATGGATTTGAGACTGCTCTCCTATCTCTTCAGCTGCAATACCCGATTAAAGCCTTCTTTCCTGGCAGTACTTGTCATCTCAGTGATTGGCTTTATGTGCGGCAAGCAGTGGAACCTAGACCAAGCGCCTGGTGCATTGGTAACAATCAGAGCAATGCTGTCACCTGTCTTTCTAGTCTGAATCCATTTCTACACACACTTCTGAGGAGGAAGGTGGTCAGTCTCAGGGAAATCTTTCTGAGGAATATGAATAGTCATTTGTACTGTATTTTGAAAGGACTATTGGAGCCAGATAGTTAACTAGCTGTGAAATACTCTTTTGGTCAGGGAATTTCTCTCAAGCATGTTGGTTTTCTGTAATAAAGAACTCACTCCATGGAATTTCCATCTTCTGTTTTCAGTAATGTCCTGATAATTGCTAAAGAGTTTATATCAGGGTGAAATATGTAAGATCCCAGGTCAGATGGTAAAAACTTGATCTTACTGGAATCACTCATAGCCTTTTATATAAAGACTTGGAAAGAGAATGTCTCACATTTATCCTGATAAAATGTCCTAGCAATAAAAATATTTTAGAATGCCAGTACCCGTAATCCCAGCACTTTGGGAGGCCGAGGCGGGCGGATCACGAGGTCAGGAGATCGAGACCATCCCGGCTAAAACGGTGAAACCCCGTCTCTACTAAAAATACAAAAAATTAGCCGGGCGTAGTGGCGGGCGCCTGTAGTCCCAGCTACTTGGGAGGCTGAGGCAGGAGAATGGCGTGAACCCGGGAGGCGGAGCTTGCAGTGAGCCGAGATCCCGCCACTGCACTCCAGCCTGGGCGACAGAGCGAGACTCCGTCTCAAAAAAAAAAAAAAAAAAAAAAAAAAAAAAGAATGCCAGTACCCTATGGTTTAAATGTAAAAGGCTGCATCCTAGAGATGGGAAGAGAGGCACTGAATACAAGTCCCCATCAACCCTCCCTCTCTAGCCTAGTGCTGCCATCAATTCCTCTTTGAATACATGTTGTAGGAATATCATCAGGGGAGAGTCTGTGGTCAACCTGGCATTCTGGGGAGGTATGAAGACACTATTGAACTAAGGCCTCACTCAGGCAGGGCCTAATAGCATCCTAGAAAGAATCAGAATGGGAAATCCACCTAGAAATAATTATAGATTATATCAAACTGTCACAGAAGAGCCATTTTTCTTTGAAAGGGCATTTCCTCCTGAGGATTTGTTACCAAGAACTATGGAGCTCTAGATTACTGGTTTGCAAACAGCAGGTGTCTGTTTACTGTGGATTCTTTTGAGTTCTTGCTGAATAGTCTTATCACCCAGACTGTATCTTGAAAACACGCAATAAGCCCCTGTATAACTTGCCTCCCTTTTCACCTTGCCTTTCCCTTAGCTGAATACTCAGGATCCCTTAAAAATATTTGTAATTCATCTACATTCAGTTGATTTTAAAAACTAAATTTTTTATTTTGAGATAACTAGATTCATATAGAGTTGTAAGAAACGATGTAAGTGACCCCATGGGCCTTTTACCCAGCTTCTCCTGATGGTAATTGCCTGCAAAACTATAGTACAATATCACAACCTGGATATTGGCATTGATATAGTCAAGGTACAGAATATTTTCATCACCATAAGAATACCTCATGTTGCCTTCTTATGGGCACCCCCCACCCCCTTCCTTCCTGCCCTTACTCCTTCCTTAAGCCCTGGTAAGTTACTAAGTCTCTTTCTATAATTTTGTCATTTCAAGAATATTATATATATGGAGTCATAAGTATGTAATCTTTGAGGTTTTTTTTTCAGTCTCTGGAGATTCATCCAGATTGCTGCATGTATCAATAGTTTTTATATTTTTATTGCTGAGTAGAGCTCTATGATATATATAGAAGCAACACAGTTTAACCATTTATCTGTTGAAGGATATTTGGATTGTTTCCGGTTTTGGCCAATTATGAGTAAAGCTGCTATAAACATTCATGTACAAGTTTTTATGTGAACATAAGTTTTCATTCTTCTGGGATAAATGCCCAGGAGTGTAATTGCTAGGTCATATGGTAGTTGCATATTTAGTTGTTAATAAACTGCCAAACTCTTCTGGAGTGCCCGCACCATTTTACATTCCTACTAAGAATATATGAATGATCTAGTTTATCTGCATTCTCACCAGCAGTTGGTGTTGTCACTTTTTTTTTTTGATTATACTTTAAGTTTTAGGGTACACATGCACAACGTGCAGGTTTGTTACATATGTATACATGTGCCATGTTGGTGTGCTGCACCCATTAACTAATCATTTAACATTAGGTATATCTCCTAATGCTATCCCTCCCCACTCCCCCCACCCCACAACAGGCCCCGGTGTGTGATGTTCCCCTTCCTGTGTCCATGTGTTCTCATTGATCAATTCCCACCTATGAGTGAGAATATGCGGTGTTCTGTTTTTTGTCCTTGCCATAGTTTGTTGAGAATGATGGTTTCCAGTTTCATCCATTTCCCTACAAAGGACATGAACTCATCATTTTTTATGGCTGCATAGTATTCCGTGGTGTATATGTGCCACATTTTCTTAATCCAGTCTATCATTGATGGACATTTGGGTTGGTTCCAAGTCTTTGCTATTGTGAATAGTGCCACAATAAACATATGTGTGCATGTGTCTTTATAGCAGCATGATTTATAATCCTTTGGGTATACACCCAGTAATGGGATGGCTGGGTCAAATGGTATTTCTAGTTCTAGATCCCTGAGGAATCGCCACACTGACTTCCACAATGGTTGAACCAGTTTACAGTCCCACCAACAGTGTAAAAAAGTGTTCCTATTTCTCCACATCCTCTCCAGCACCTGCTGTTTCCTGACTTTTTAATGATCGCCATTCTAACTGGTGTGAGATGGTATCTCATTGTGGTTTTGATTTGCATTTCTCCAATGGCCAGTGATGATGAGCATTTTTTCATGTGTCTTTTGGCTGCATAAATGTCTTCTTTTGAGAAGTGTCTGTTCATATCCTTCATCCACTTTTTGATGGGGTTGTTTGTTTTTTTCTTGTAAATTTATTTGAGTTCATTGTAGATTCTGGATATTAGCCCTTTGTCAGATGAGTAGATTGCAAAAATGTTCTCCCACTCTGTAGGTTGCCTGTTCACTCTGATGATAGTTTCTTTTGCTGTGCAGAAGCTCTTTAGTTTAATTAGATCCCATTTGTCAATTTTGGCTTTTGTTGACATTGCTTTTGGTGTTTAGATGTGAAGTCCTTGCCCATGCCTATGTCCTGAATGGTATTGCCTAGGTTTTCTTCTAGGGTTTTTATGGTTTTAGGTCTAATATTTAAGTCTTTAATCCATCTTGAATTAATGTTCGTATAAGGTGTAAGGAAGGGATCCAGTTTCAGCTTTCTACATATGGCTAGCCAGTTTTCCCAGCACCATTTATTAAATAGGGACTCCTTTCCCCATTTCTTGTTTTTGTCAGGTTTGTCAAAGATCAGATAGTTGTAGATATGTGGCATTATTTCTGAGGGCTCTGTTCTGTTGCATCAGTCTATATCTCTGTTTTGGTACCAGTACCATGCTGTTTTGGTTACTGTAGCCTTGTAGTATAGTTTGAAGTCAGGTAGCGTGATGCCTCCAGCTTTGTTCTTTTGGCTTAGGATTGACTTGGCAATGCCGGCTCTTTTTTGGTTCCATATGAACTTTAAAGTAGTTTTTTCCAATTCTGTGAAGAAAGTCATTGATAGCTTGATGGGGATGGCATTGAATCTATAAATTACCTTGGGCAGTGTGTCCATTTTCATGATATTGATTCTTCCTTCCCATGAGCATGGAATGTTCTTCCAATTGTTTGTATCCTCTTTTATTTCACTGAGCAGTGGTTTGTAGTTCTCCTTGAAGAGGTCCTTCACATCCCTTGTAAGTTGTATTCCTAGGTATTTTATTCTCTTTGAAGCTACTGTGAATGGGAGTTCACTCATGATTTGGCTCTCTGTTTGTCTGTTATTGGTGTATAAGAATGCTTGTGATTTTTGCACATTGATTTTGTATCCTGAGACTTTGCTGAAGTTGCTTATCAGCTTAAGGAGATTTTGGGCTGAGATGATGAGGTTTTCTAGATATACAATCATGTCATCTGCAAACAGGGACAATTTGACTTCCTCTTTTCCTAATTGAATACCCTTTATTTCCTTCTCCTGCCTGATTGCCCTGGCCAGAACTTCCAACACTATGTTGAATAGGAGTGGTGAGAGAGGGCATCCCTGTCTTGCGCCAGTTTTCAAAGGGAATGCTTTCAGTTTTTGTCCATTCAGTATGATATTGGCTATGGGTTTGTCATAGATAGCTCTTATTATTTTGAGATACATCCCATCAATAGCTAATTGATTGAGAGTTTTTAGCAGGAAGGGTTGTTGAATTTTGTTAAAGGCCTTTTCTGCATCTGTTGAGAGAATCATGTGTTTTTTGTCGTTGGTTCTGTTTATTTGCTGGATTATTTTTATTGATTTGCATATGTTGAACCCGCCTTGCATTCCAGGGATGAAGCCCACTTGATCATGGTTTCATGATCATGATCATGGATAAGCTTTTTGATGTGCTGCTGGATTCAGTTTGCCAGTATTTTATTGAGGATTTTTGCATCAATGTTCATCAGGGATATTGGTCTAAAATTCTCTTTTTTTGTTGTGTCTCTGTCCGGCTTTGGTATCAGGATGATCCTGGCCTCATAAAATGAGTTAGGGAGGATTCCCTCTTTTTCTATTGATTGGAATAGTTTCTGAAGGAATGGTACCAGCTCCTCCTTGTACCTCTGGTAGAATTTGGCTGTGAATCCATCTGGTTCTGGACTTTTTTTGGTTGATAAGCTATTAATTATTGCCTCAATTTCAGAGTCTGTTACTGGTCTGTTCAGAGATTCAACTTCTTCCTGGTTTAGTCTTGGGAAGGTGTATGTGTCGAGGAATTTATCCATTTCTTCTAGATTTTCTAGTTTATTTGTGTAGAGGTGTTTATAATATTCTCTGAAAGGTGTTGTCCCTTTTAAAAAAAATTTTAGCCATTTTAATAGGTGTGTAGTAATATCGCAGTGTAGCTTTAATTTGCATTTCCTGAATGGCTAATGAGTTGAACATTTTTTTCATGTGCTTATTGGTTATCTGTATCTCCTTTTGGGTAAATGTCTGTTTATACCTTTTACTCAGCTTTTACATTTTTTATAGTTGAGTTTTGAGGTTATATATTATAGATTATATATTCTAGATACTATTTCTTTATTTGACGTTTGCTTTGCAGATATTCCTTTCAGTCATAGATTTTCATTTCATCCTCAACACAGTCTTTTGTTTTAAATTTTGATGAAGTCCATCTTGTCAGTTTTCCCATTTATGGATTATGCTTTTGGTGTCAAATCTAAGAACAGTTTGCCTAGCCCTAGATTCTGAAGATTTTCTTTTTTTTTCTAAAAAAAACTTTTTTAGTTTTATGTTTTATATTTAAGTCCACAATCCATTTTGAGTTAATTTTTAAATAAGATGCGAGACTTAGGTCCTGGTTCCTTTTCTGGCTTATTGATGTCCACTTGTTCCCATGCCGTTTGTTAAAAAGGCTGTCTTTCCTGCACAAATTGCGTTTGCACCATTGTGAAAAATTAGTTGAGTATATTTGTATGGGTCTATTTCTGGAATCTCTATTCTGTTCTATGAATCTATATTCTTTTTCCAATACCACATAGTCTTCATTACTGTGCTATATATCAAGTCTTGTGATTGGTTAGACTGATTCCTCCTACTTTCTTTTTAAAAACAGCTTTATTGAAGTATAATTGATATATTAACCCAAAACCAAAACTAAAAACCCAGTTATGTTTAATGTATATAATTTGATGAGTTTGAACCACTTTATTTTTGTTATTCAAGATTGTTTTAGCTATTTTTGTTTCTTTGACTTTCATATAAATTTTAAAGTAATCTTGTGCACATCTACAAAAACTCTTGCCAGCATTTTGATAGAAATTGTGCTAAACTTGTATAACGATTTGGAGCGAATGGATATCTTCAGTATGTTTTGTCTTCTAATTTAGGAACATGGTATGTCTCTCCATTTCTTTAATCTCTTTCATCAGCATTTTGTTGTTTTCAGCATTCAAATCCTGCACGTTTTGTTATATTTACATCTAAGTATTTTTGGAATGATTATAAATGGTATTATGTAATTTTGGTGTTCATTTCTATTGTGTAGAAATACAGTAATTTTTATATGTGTATCTTGTATCACATGACCTTGCTGAACTCACTTATTAGTTCTGGAAGTTTTTATGTGAATTCTTTGGGATGTTCTGTGTAGCATTATGTCATTTGCAAATAGGGATATTTTTATTTCATCCTCTCTGATCTGGATGCCATTTATTTCCTTTTTTTGCATTATTGCAACAGCAGTACTGTGTTGATTAAGAATTGTGAGAGCTGATATTTTGCCTTGTTCCTTGTTGTAGGGGGAAAATTTTCATTCTTTCACCATTAAGAGTAATGTTAGCTGTAGGTTTTTTGGTAGATGCTCTTTATTAAGTTTAGGAAGTTCTCCTCTATTTCTATTTTTTTTCTCTGAGAGTTTTATGAATGGGTGTTGGGTGTTGAATTTTATTGAGTGTTTTTGTATATCAATTGATAAGAGTGTTTTTTTCATTAGCCTGTTAATATCATACATTACATGGCTTTTTTTTTCAATATTGAGCCAGCCTTGCACTCTTGAAATGTACCCCAACCTTTTTTTTTTTTTTTTTTTTTTTTAAGTGACAGGATTTTGCTTGGTTACCCAGGCTGGAGTGTGGTGCTGTGATGCTAGCTCACTGCAGCCTCGAACTCCTGGGCTCAAGTGATCCTCCTGCCTCAGCCTCCCAAGCAGCTAGGACTATAGGCATGTACCACCACCCCTGACCTTTTTTTTTTTTTTTTTTTGTAGAGATGGGGTCTCTCTATGTTGCCATGGCTGGTCTTGAATTTCTGGCCTCAAACATCATCTTACCTCAGCCTCTCAAAGCACTGGGAACACAGGCCTGAGCCACCATGCCTGGCCTCATTTTTATATATTGCTAAATTCTGTTTGCTACTATTTGTTAAGGATATTTGCATCTATATTTATGAGAGCTATTAGTCTGTAGTTTTCTTTTTTGTACTGTCTTTGGTTTTGGGAATCAGGGTAACATTAGTTTCACAAAATGAATTGAGAAGTGTTCCCTCTGCTTCTATTTTCTTTTAGAGATTGTGTAGAATTGCTGTTAATTCTTCTTTAAATTTTGACACCATTATTTATTAAAACCATCTGGGCCTGGGGATTTTTTCTGGGAGTTTTAAAATTATGCATTTGATTCCCTCAATAATTTTGTGGCTATTGGTGTGGTAGTTTGTTGTTTTTGAGGTCCATTTCCCCTAACTAGTCATATTTATGTGTGTAGAGTTGTTTGTAACATTACCTTATTTTTATTTTTTTTTATGTCTCCAGGGTTTATAGTGATATTCTCTTTTCCATTCTTAATACTGGTAATTTCTGTCTTCTCTTTTTATTTTCAGTCTTGCTACAGGTTTGTTGATGTTATTTTATGTTACTGATCTTTTCAAAGACCACTGATTTCCTCTTGTTTTCCTGTTTTTAATTTCATCGATTTCTGTTCATTATTATTTCCTTCCTTCTGCTTGCTTTAGTTTTATTTTTGTTCTTTTTTGATAGATTCTTGAGGTGGGAGCTTAGAATATTGATTTAAGACTTTTTGTCTTAGGTAAACATTTAGTGATAAACATTTCCCTTTTTGTAGTACTTTAACAGTATCCCACTTCTATTTTCATTTTCATTGAGTTCAATAAAAGTTTCCCTTGCCACTTTATCTTTGGCCCATGGATTATTTAGAAGTGTGATATTTATAGTTTTCAAGTGTTTGGATATTTTCCCATTATCTTTATTGGTTTCTAGTGTGATTCCATTGTAGCTGAGAATACACTCTGGTGATTTTAATTGTTGTATTTATTAAGGTTTATTTTATGGACTAGCATATGATCTATCCTGAGTATTATTTTGTGTACACTTGTAAAAACTGTGTTTTGCTCCTGTTGGGGAGAGTATTCTATAAATATTGATTAAATCCTATTGTTTGATGCTATTGTTGAGTTCTTCTATATCTTATTGTTTGATGGTATTGTTGAGTTCTTCTATATCTTTGCTAGTTTTCTACCTAGTTGCTCTATCAGTTGTTGAGAGAGGTGTACTGTGGGTCTGTTTCTCCTTTTGATTTTATCAGATTTTTACTTTACATATTTTGCAGTTCTTGTTTGGTACATATACATCAGGATTGTTCTGTCTTCTTGGTGGAGTGATGCTTTTATCATTATGTAATTTGCCTTTCTGTCTCTATTGTTCAGATACTTTCTATTACAGAACAACAATTATAGGACAGTTTCTATTGTTTTATCTTCAAGTTCAAGTTCACTAATTTTTTTCTTCATCTTCTTCATTTTGCTTTTTTTTTTCTTTCCCTGAGACAGGGTTGCCCACTTTGTTGCCTACACTAGAGTGATCATGGCTCACTCCTGCCTCAACCGCCTGGGCTCAACCATTCCTCCCACCTTAGCCTGCTGAGTAGCTGAAACTACAGGCATGTACCACCAGGCACGGCAACTTTTAAATGTTTTCTAGAGATGGGGTCTCACTATGTTGCTCAGGCTGGCCTTGAACTCCTGAGTTCAAGAGATCCTCCTACATTGGCCTCCAAAATGTTAGGATTAGAGACATGAGCCACTGAGCCTGGCCTCATTTTGCTTTTGAGCCTATCCATTGGATTTTTTTTATATTCGTTATTACATTTTCTGGTTCTAAAACTTCCATTTGGTTCCTTATATCTCCTTTGCTGAGACTTTCTATTTGTTTCAAACTTGTCCCTAATTACTTGTTAAAGCACTTTTATGATGGCTGTTCAAAAATCTTTGTCTGATATTTCTGATATATAATTTTGGTGTTGGCATCTATTGATTACCTGTTTTTCATTCCATTTGATGTCTTCCTGGTTCTTGGTATAATGAATGAATTTTTTATTGAAAGTTTGGCATTTGGGTAGTCTCTGGATCTTATTTAAATTTTGAATTTTAGGTTTAATATTTATATGGCAGAAGAAGAGGGAGGCATCCTCTCACTTTTGCCAGGTTGGGGTAAACATACAGATTTCACACTCAGCCTCCATTGACACCTGAGTGGGGTGCTTCTCCTTGTTACTGCCAGGTAGAGATAGGAATTCCAGCTCCTCGCTAAGCTTACATGGATACCTCTCTGGGTTGTGGGGGATGGAGGTGACCTCATGACTGCTGGGCAGTGGTGGAAATCCCAACTCTCCACTAGGCTTCCTCTGACCATCCCATTGAGGAGGGAAAGGGGCACCTCATTACTGTTGGTGGAGGTGGCATTGTGTGGAAGTCCATGCTCCTTACTGGGCCTTTTCTGGCTGGAATATCTCAGTAGGAGAGGAGATGGGAGATTGGGTGCTTCATTACAGCTTCGAGAAAGGGGAAGTCTAGGCTTCCTAGTAGGCCCTGCTGGCGTAGCTGAGGCGGGGTGGGGGCACAAAATTTTTCTGTGCTATATGGTTATAGTAGAGTGGTTATTATCTAACAGCTTTCTGTCTTTTGAGGCTGCCCATTTTCCACTCCTTTTGGCTGGAAAGAATAGGCTTTTGTTGTTGTGGTTGTTTTTTTTTTTTTTTTTTTGTCTATACTCCTTGGAGTTTCCAGGTTGCTGGCTTCTTCAGCTCCAAGTCAGGAACACATGAGGCAAAAAGAAAACCCAGAGAGCTCACCACTGTGTCATTCCTAGCCGTTTTACTTTCTTTTCTCCACCTTTCAGAGTCATCTTATATTTGTTTTAGATATAATGACCAAGGCTTTTAGTTGCACTTAGAGGGAGGAATAGGGAAAAATATGTCTTCTCTGTCTTTCCAGAAATGGAAATCTGATTAGGTTCATTTATTTGCTGTATTCTTGTTGGGGTGATCAGACCCAATACCAGGTCGTGGGAGTAACGAAGTCCAGCAGAGTCAAAGGAATGAGAAAAGACAGTTTGAGAGACAAAGTGAGTCCAGGGGGCCAATGCTAGTTATGGAGGCTGCAAAGGCCCTGAACTCTAGAAGCCCAGACTATTGGTGATCAAACAAAGATACAGGTGGCAAGAATGTGGGGTTGAAAGGGGGCATTGCATTAAGCACATGATTTACAGCTGTGATGGTTTAGCATTTATATGGCCAATTCTAAGACACAATTGATCTAGGAGGCTGGGAGGGCTAGAAGCAAGGAGCTAGCAAGTCTAGACACATGCCAGAGGTCAGGAGAGGTTTTATGCCCTGAGCCATGGATTCTGTCGAAGCCAGGAGGGGTTTTATGCCCCGGGCTTAGATTATGGTGCGTCAGGGTAGCCTTCCACCCTTTAACACAGAGCTTGGTGTTCCAAAGGCCATGAGGGGTTTTAGACCCTGGACCCTGGACATGTTCCAAGACTCTTTCACATTATGCAAGCTCTGCCTCAGCTTCTCTCAACACTCAGCTTTTCCCAACAATTCTTAAAGGCCAAACTTCTTTGTTGCTGAGGTCTCAGAATCCAAGCTTCCTTAATCACACTCATGTAATTTCCTTTTCATGGAGAGAGAAATTAAAATCTCAAGCATAGTAGGTAGGAGTGCATTGGTAAGAGGGGTGGAAAGTGTTCCTCTACCCAAAGATGCACACTGACACTCTGGATTTCTAGCTTTCCTTTGCCCCCTTTTAAGGGCTGGTGTCAACCATAGGGGAAACAGGGGTATTCAGCTAATCTTACCTCTACTAAAGGGTCTTCAACCTCTAGGGGTAACAAGAAGTTCCTATGACACAAGAGGGAGTTTTACCTAGAGATTTATAAGAACCTGCAAGTGGCATAGAGGAGCAGCTGGGAGTCCCTTCCAGCTTGGCTTGGTATGAGAAGGCACAGCTTGTTGCCTTTGACTAATGTGGATGAAACCCATTGGTGATTCTCTCTTGGAGCCAGCCTTCTCTGTACTTCTTCCTGCACTAAGTCTGCTTCCTTAAAAGCCTGAGTTACTCAGGGAAATGTAACCGTGATGTGGAACAGCATGCGTTTTGAATCTAGTTAGATCTGTTTTGTGATCCTGTCACCATCTCTTGCTAGGTAGGACCTTAGAGTTGACTCATTCACTTAAAAACAGTCCTGTAGTGCCTACTTTGGACCAGCCAGCATGCTGGGCTCATGGAATGTAGTCGTTGGTACTCTTCCTTGCTGTTTTTTTTTTCTTTTCTTTCTCACCATCAGCAAGTCCAGCTGGCTATACTGCAGAAATATTAATATGTACAAAATTGGACTGCTTTTCTCTATCATCTCATCTTTTTCTCTGTTTATAACAAGTACCCTGATTCTGTTCTTCCCTCAATCCTTTGTCCCAACTCATTATCTACAAAGCAGCCAGGGTGATCTTTTAGAAACATGCATCAGATTATTATTCTTTTACCTAAAATCCTCTGGTTACACCCAGCCGTACATAGAATAAAATCTAACACCTCCCAATATTCCACTGGGTCCTGTGTGGTCTAGTTTCCGCTTTCCTTTCAGAGCTCATCTAGCATCTTCTCCCTCGCCTCCTCCCACTCACTGTGCTTCAGCCACATTGGACTTCTTTCTTTTCCTGATAATATCAAACTTATTTCACCCTAGGCTTATTATGCCAGTTACGCCCTCTGCCTAGGATAATTTTTCCATACAAACTTAAATGGCTGATTCTTTGTTGTCACTCAGGTTTCAATTCAAACACTTTCCCTCTCTTACTCAAGTCATATTTTATCAAATCACAGTGTTCTGCCTGCCCCAGTGTTATTTAGTGGTTATCACAATTTGAAATGATTTTGATTTGTCTGCTAGACTGAGCTCCATGAGAGCAGGCATTATGCTGTTTCCTTCAATGCTGCATGTCCAGTGCCTAGAACAGTTCCGGGCATAGAGCAATAAATATATTTAAACGTTTTTAATTGATACATAATTATATATGTTTATGGAGTACACATGATATTTTGATACGTGTATGCAGTATGTAATGATGAAATTGGGGTAATTGAGGTCTCCATCACCTCAAACATTTTTCATTTCTTTGTGCTAGAAACATTTAAGATCCTCTCTTCTAGTTATTTTGAAATATATAGTAAATTATTATTCACTCTACTGTGCTATAGAACACTTATTCCTCCTATCAAATACTAATTTTAAAAAACGATTTTTATTGATGCACATTAGATGTGCATGTTTTGGGTGTACATGTGATAGGATGATAAATTTATATAATCAAATCAGGGTAGTTGGGATATCCATCACCTTAAATACTTACCTGTTTTTTTACTCTAGCTGAAATTTTGTATCAATTAACCAACGCTTCCCTATCACATTCTCTTCCTGTACCATTCTCAGCCTCTGGTAACCACTATTCTACTCTCTACTTCTAGGAGGTCAGCTTTTTTAGCTCTCATATATGAGCGGAACATGTGGTATTTGTCCTTCTGTGCCTGGCTTATTTCATTTAACATAATATCCTCCAGAGTTATCCATGGAGCTGCAAATGACAGGATTTCATTCTTTTTTTATGGCCAAATAATATTCTATTGGGTACATATATCCATTAATATTTTGTTTTTCCATTCATCTGTCAATGGACACTTAGGTTGATTCTATATCTTGGCTACTGTGAATAATGCTGCAATAAACATGGGAGTGCCAATAGCTCTTTCCTTTCCTTTGGATATATACCCACCAATGGGATTGCTGAATCATATCGTAGTTCTATTTTTATTCAAGGAAACTCAATATGTTTTGCATAACTGCTATATTAATTTACATCCCCAACAAAAGTATGTAATAATTCCCCTTCATCTGGATCCTCACCAGCATTTTTAATTTATTTATTTATTTATTTATTTATTTATTTATTTATTTATTTATTTTTTCTGAGACAGAGTCTAGCTCTGTCGCCCAGGCTGGAGTGCAGTGGCATGATCTTGGCTCACTACAACCTCTGCCTCCCGGGTTCAAGTGTTTCTCCTGCCTCAGCCTCCTGAGTAGCTAGGATTACAGGTATCCACCACCATGCCTGGCTAATTTTGTATTTTTAGTAGAGATGGGGTTTTACCATGTTGGCCAGGCTGGTCTCAAACTCCTGACCTCAGGTGATCCACCCTCCTCGGCCTCCCAAAGTACTGGTATTACAGGTGTGAGCCACCATGCCTGGCCATCAGCACTTTTTTTTGTCTTTTTGATAATAGCCATTTAACTGGGATGAGATTACATTTCATTGCATTTTGATTTGCATTTTCCTGATGATTAGTAATGATGAGCATTTTTTCATATCCCTGTTAGCCATTTATTTGTATGTATTCCTTTGATAAATAGCTATTCAGATTACTTCCTCATTTTTAAATCACATTATTCAATTTTTGCTGTTGAGTTGAATTCCTTGTATATTCTAGATATTAATCCCTTGTCAGATGAATAGTTTGCAGGTATTTTCTCCCATTCTGTAGGTTGTCTCTTCATTCTGTTGATTGTTTACTTTGCTGTGCAGAAGCTTTTCAGCTTGATATAATCCTATTTGGCTATTTTTGCCTTGGTTGCCTGTACTTTTGAGGTTTACCTTAAAAATCTTTGCCCAGTCCAACATCCTGGAGAGTTTCCCCGAAGTTTTATTTTATCGATTCTATAGTTTGAAGTCTTGGATTTAAATTTTTAATCCATTTGATTTGATTTTTGAATATGAGAAGAGATAGGGGTCTAATTTCATTCTTCTGCATATGGATATCCAGTTTTCCCAGCACCATTTGTTGAAGAGACTGTCCTATTCTCAATGTATATTCTTGGCGCCTTTGTTGAAAATGAGTTCATTGTAGATACATGGATTTATTTCTGGGTTCTCTGTTCTGTTCCATTGGTCTATGTGTCTGTTTTTATGCAACTACCCTGTTGTTTTGGTTACTATAACTCTGTAGTATAATTTGAAGTCAGGTAATGTGATTCCTCTAGTTTTGTTCTTTTTGCTCAGGATAGTTTTTGCTATTCTGGGTCTTCTGTGATTCCATATAAATTTTAGGATTAATTTTTTCTATTTCTGTGAAGATTGTCATTGGTATTTTAATAGGGATTGCATTGAATCTGTAGATTGCTTTGGGTAATTGCACATTGTAATAATATTAATTCTCCTAATCCATGAATACTTTTCCATTTTTTGTGTCCTCTTCAATTTCTTATCTCAGTGTTTTATAGCTTTATTTGTAGAGATTTTTCTTCTCTTTGGTTAGATTTATTCCTAGACATTTAATTTTTTTTGTAGCTATTGATAATGGAATTGTTCCTTTGATTTCATTTTCAGATTGTTTGCTATTGGTGTATGGAAATGCTACTGACTTTTGTATGTTGAGTTTTGTATCCTGCAACGTTAGTGAATTTGTTTATCAGTTCTAACAGGTTGTGTGTGTGTGTGTGTGTGTGTGTAGTCTATGTTTCTCTAAATATATGATTATATCTGCAAACAGGGACAGTTTGACTTCCTCCTTTTCCATTTGGATGTCCTTTATTTCTTTCTCTTGCCTAATTGTTCTGTCTGGGACTTTCAGTGCTATGTTGAATAACAGTGGTGAAAATGGGCATTCTTGTCTAGTTCCAGATCTTAAAGGGAAGGCTGTCAACATTTTCCTATTCAGTATGATGTGAGCTGTGGGTTTATCAAGTAAGGTCTTTTTTATTTTTAATTTTTTTTTATTTCCATAGGTTATTGAGGAACAGGTGGGTGTTTGGTTATATGAATAAGTTCTTTAGTGGTGATTTGTGAGATTTTGGTACACTCATCACCCAAGCAGTATACACTGAACCCAATTTTGTAGTCTTTTATCCCCTACCCCCTTCCCACCCTTTCCTCCTGAGTCCTCAAAGTCTGTTGTGTCATTCTTATGCCTTTGCATCCCCATAGCTTAGCCCCCACTCATGAGTGAGGACATACAATGTTTGGTTTTCCATTTCTGAGTTACTTCACTTAGAATCATAGTCTCCAATCTCATGCAGGTTGCTGCAAATGTAAGGCATTTGAGTACCTTTCTTCTATACCTCATTTGTTGAGTTTTTTTTATCATGAAAGGATATCGAATTTTATCAAATGCTTTTTCTGCATCTATTGAGATAATCATTTTTTTTTCCCTACTGCTGATGTGATGCATCATGTTTGTTAATTTGCAAGTGTTGAGTCATTCTTGCATCTCTGGATAAATTCCAGTTGATTATAGAGTATACCTTTTTTTTGATGTTCTGTTGGATTCAGTTTGCTAGTGTTTTGTTGAGGATTTTGTATGTAGGTTCATCAGGAATATTGGCTTGTAGTTTTCTTTTTTGTTTTGCCTTTGTCTGGTTTTGGTATCAGGGTAATGCTGGACTCATAGATTGAGTTTGGAAGAATGCCCTCCCCTTCAATTTTTAAAAATAGTTTGAGAATAACTGGTACTAGTTCTTCTTTAAAACTTTGGTAAAATTCAGCTTTGAAGCCATCTGGTCCTGGGCTTTTCTTTGTTGGGAGATTTTTTTTTTTATTACTGATTCAATTAATCTTATTTCTTGTTATTGGTCTGTTAGAGTTTTCTATTTCTTCCTGT
Source organism: Homo sapiens (assembly GCF_000001405.40). NCBI lineage: Eukaryota > Metazoa > Chordata > Mammalia > Primates > Hominidae > Homo > Homo sapiens. The sequence continues at coordinate 211,020,427 of NC_000001.11, read as the reverse complement.
TTCAATCTTGGTAGGTTGTATGTGTCCAGGAATTTATCCATTTCCTCTAGGTTTTCCAATTTGTTGGCATATGATTATTCATAATAGCTTCTAATGATCCTTTGTATTTGTGTGGTATTTCTTGTAATATTTCCTTTTTCATCTTGAATTTTATTGGGAATTTCTTTTTCTTAGTTATAGGTTTGGGTTTTTTTAAAATTATGTTTTTAAAAACCCAGCTTGTCATTTCATTGCTCTTTTGTATTTTTTGTCTTAATTTTATTTATTTTGACTCTTATTTTATTATTTCTTTCCTTCTTCTAATTTTGGATTTGGTTTGTTCTTGCTTTTCTCGTTCCTTGAAGTGCATTGTTAGGTTGTTTATTTAAAATCTTTTTACTTCTTTGATGTAGGCATTTATTGCTGTAATTTTCCCTCTTAGTATTTCTTGTGCTGTATCCCATAGGTTTTTGTTATGTTATGTTTTCATTTTCATTTGTTTCAAGACATTTTAAAATTTCCTTCTTAATTTCTCTATTGACCCACTGGTCATTCACAAGCACATTTAATTTCCAAGTATTCATAAAGTTTCCCAAGTTCCACATGTTTTGATTTCTAGTGTACTTCCACTGTGGTCAGGAAAGATTCTTGATATGAATTTGATTTTTAAAAATTTGTTAACACTTGTTTTGTCATCTCACATATAGTCTATCCTGGAGAATGTTCCATGTGCTGATGAGAAGAATGTGTATTCTGCAGCTGTTGGATGAAATCAGAGCAATTAATATTTATTGAATAAAAAGTTGCTTAATCTTTTTGAGCCCCAGTTTCTAACTTATGGAATAATAATTGGCTAATAGAACAAAGGTGTATTTAGAATTGAGCCAATAATAATTGGCTAATAGAACAAAGGTGTATTTAGAATTACACAAAGGTGTAATAGAATAAATGTGTGTAAAGTGCTTAGTACAACACTTGGCTCACAGCCAAATAGTAATTTGTAATTGTTTCTTTATGATTATTTCTATTATAATGTTCACTTTCATTCTCCCATACTTCTTTCATACCTGTTATTGTACCTGACGATTTATCCAGAGTATTGTGACCATTTGTCAATCACTGATGCTGACTGGTTAGATACTTGCAATTAAATCCTAACTTAGTTCTCTCTTGGTCATGTTTTTCTGTACAGGTCCTACAGCTGGGCTCAGACATCCTTCCCCAGTACAAGCAAGAGGCACCAAAGACTCCCCCTCACATCATCTTACATTATTGTGTTTTTAAGACCACGTGGGATTGGATCATCTTGATCTTGACCTTCTATACAGCCATCTTGGTCCCTTATAATGTCTCCTTCAAAACCAGGCAGAATAATGTGGCCTGGCTGGTTGTTGATAGCATCGTGGATGTTATCTTTTTGGTGGACATTGTGCTCAATTTTCATACCACCTTTGTTGGACCAGCAGGGGAGGTGATTTCTGACCCCAAACTTATCCGCATGAACTACCTGAAGACGTGGTTTGTGATTGACCTTCTGTCCTGTTTGCCATATGATGTCATCAACGCTTTTGAGAACGTGGATGAGGTTAGTGCCTTTATGGGTGATCCAGGGAAGATTGGTTTTGCTGATCAGATTCCACCACCACTGGAGGGGAGAGAGAGTCAGGTACATCCCTCAAATCTCAGACCTTGTTGTCATGTCTTTAAAACTGAGTTAAATGTGGGTGGTCAACAGAAGAATAATTAAATGGGTGGGAAATAGCATGACTGATGTCCAGAACAGAGGGAGCATGCTTGATAGATACCCTTGCCTGCTGTTCCCATCCTTTGGCGGTTTGGAGGCCCTGCATGACAGTGAATGGGTGTGGAAGAGACCAAAGGCTTACTCCTACTCCACGTGGAATGTAAGCCACTGGTTCAGGAATGGTGGGCCTGCAGCAGCAGGCATGCATGGCCACTGCACTGGCAAGTCTTCTATTGAGTATATAGTTGCTGAATGTCTACCTATTGATTATTCTAGTTATGCAGACTTTTCTTTTATCTGCTGCTGACTTTTGGCTGTTTCATAGCCAATTAACTCCTGGTAACAGGAATACCATTTTCCTGAAAGTTTGCTTTTACTTTTTTCTGTTAAATTTTGAGATGAGTTATTTCTTTGCTAAAATGAGTTTGGAGGCAACCATTTACTGAGGTAGTCAGGCATCAGCTTGTGGTTTTTGGATTATACTGCTGTTTTAGTCCATTTTGTGTTGCTATAGAGAAATACCTGAGGCAGGGTAACTTACAAAGAAAAGTCAAAATTCTGATGGCTGGAAGATTTAGGACCAGGTCACTCATGGTGGAAGGTGAAGGGGGGAGCCAGCTTGTCCAGAGATCAGATGGTGAGAGAGGAAGTGAGAGACAGGAAGAGGAGGTGCCAGGCTTTTTGTAACAACTTGCTTTCGTGGGAACTAATGGAGTGAGAATCCACTCACCACCCCACTTCCCCCAGAGAGGACATTAATATACTTAAGAGGGATCCACCCCCCATGACCCAAACACCTCCCATTAGGCCCTATTTCCAACACTGGGACTCAAATTTCAACATGAGGTTTGGAGGAGACAAACATTCAAACTATAGCAACTCTTTTCAATTGTTAGTCCTGCAGGCAATGGATGAAATTAAAGGAAGCTAAATTCTGTGTAGATGTGTTGGAATTAGGAAATACTCTAAGTCATTTTCTGAATGAGCGCCTGGGACATGTGGTAGCAGGAAGGGCCACTGGACTGATTAAGGTGATTTTCTTTGAAACAGTGAGGATGTCAAGTCATTGCAAAGAAAAATGTCAGATTCTTATCTAGTTTGTGTTCTATGGGAATTGTCCTTCCGTTTTCTTACTCCTAGTGGACATTCCAGATGGATTAAGATAAGGCAGTTCATTTGGCAAGTCTCCAGCCTTGTTCAGCTGGGCCCTCATTGCTTCAGATTACAGAGGCTCCCAAGGTCTCAGTCTAGCTGGGTTGTGTGGGTAATCTAGGAAGCCAAGTTGAGGCTCAAGACACATTTCAGAACTAAACGGCTCATAGGACTCAGGCTTGAGAACGTTGAAAGGAACAGCTTGCTCCCTGCCGGGATATCAAGACCTGGCCAGTGACTCCATGTTTTACTAGTGGCATAATGATGCCTTTCTGCCTTCAGATCAGTACCAGCGGTTGGTGGGACAGCAGCCTTTTCTCTGGGAAAACAGAACTATTACCACTTCTCTTTCCAGTGAAGGGTAGCTCTTCCTACAAAATGCTGCCAATGTAGAGCTGGAAGGAGAGAATTTGGATGCTCAGATGCTCTAGATTCAGAACAACCCATGCTTGTATCTGTGTGGTGGGTTTTAAAATACTTTAAAATCCCAAAGACTAATTCTCTGGGGTAGCTTGTGTGAATTTTGTAGGGGGATGAAATGAGTCAAGACTGATCATTTACAAGAGCAGAATCATACCTAATATGAACGTTGGGGTTCTTAAATGAGAATTTTTTTTTTTAATTTTAAAATTTTTTTTTTTTTTGAGACAGAGTCTTGCTCTGTCACCCAGGCTGGAATGTCGTGGTGTGATCTCAGCTCACCACAACCTCTGCCTCCCAGGTTCAGGCAATTCTCCTGCCTCAGCCTCCCAAGTAGCTGGGATTATAGGCACGTGTCACTGTGCCTGGCTAATTTTTGTATTTTTAGTAGAGACGGGGTTTCACCATGTTGGCCAGTCTGGTCTTGAACTCCTGACCTCAAGTGATCTGCCTGCCTCGGCCTCCTAAAGAGCTGGGATTACAGGTGTGAGCCACCACTCCTGGCCCACAAATGAGAATTTTAGTACATGTTGGGAATCATACTTTTCTCTGTGAGCACATTTTTAGAAATTTTTTTCTTAGGAAAATATCATTTTGGCTTAGGTAATTCAAATAAATTATCTGAATCTAAAAGAGCTTCTTAAACACATATGGAAAGTGAAATTTAGCTTAAGAAGCACACTGGTTTTTAAAATAAACGATTTTCTATTTAGAGTAATGGACTGAAATTTTGCAGATAAATAGAACAGTTCTCCAGCTTCCACAGATTCTTATTAAAAATTGGCAGAACTATAAACACATATGTAAAATGTGTCAGTTACCTGGTAGGTTAACAGAGCAGAGTTCTTCTCCCCTAGGAAAGAGTTCCAAACCAACTGTATATGTTGGGTTGGAACTCTTTCCAAACCAACTGTACATGTTGGGTTGGAACTCCTTCCAAACAAACTGTATATGTTGGGTTGGAACTCCTTCCAAACCAACTGTATATGTCGGGTTGGAACTCCTTTGCCATTATTTATAAATACTCCTGATGGTGGTTTCTGATTTATAGATTCATGAAATAGATTGGTTAATAAGAAAAATGTTAGTTATCTGTAGCTTTCTCATTGGTAAAGGGCTTAGAATCAAAGCTCTTACTATCACCTGTTGGTCATAAATAATAGTACAAATATTAAGGGCTACAGCTATTGTTTCCTTCTGTAAGACATAATTTTATATTTGGTAATTTCTTTTAAAGCTTTGGCTAACACCTCAAATAATGCCCTTTCATAACAACTCTGGTGGTTGGAGGGAGATCAGTGTGAGGAATGGGAAGATTTGGCTTTTAGTTCTCTTGGTATCACCTGTTAAAACAGCTGGGATCCTTGTGCATATCATTTAGCCTTTCTGGATCATGGTTTTCCTATCTACATCTTGGGGATAATACTACTATACCTGCCTGAAGGCATAGCATTTGGGTGGTGGATTATTTGAGTTTCCTGCCAGCTCCAAGAGCTAAAGTCTGGTGAATGCTAAATCTCATCTGCATTAGTCTTACCTCCAGAAGCTTATTGTAAGAACAAGAGTCCTAGCACCGTGACCTCTTTCTTGTAATTGGGGTGGGAGGAAAACAAGGTGGGGGGTGGGAACACTTAGCAGGTAATACATAGACCCACTTGAGGTCACAGCCTGACAGGACCATGGAGGTCTTATAGTTCAACCTTCTTAATACACAAGTAAGAAAAAAGACAGGGGAAATGACTCACTCAAGATGGAATAACATATCATATAATCACAGTAATAATGGGTTCCCTTCTGACTCTTCTCTATTCCTAATAGCAACAGATTTTTATAAAATAGGAGCAAAACACTTAATGAAGGACAGTTGAGTCAAAACTGACCAGGAAGTTTCTGATGTGTGTGGCTCACTCCTTGGCTTGGCTGAATGTGGTAGAGAAGTTGGACACGGGGTCTGGTGGAGGTAGATGGAGGTGGGCAGCTACATTTTCCCCAAGGCATCTGTGTTGGGGATGACATGGGCAGTTAAAGATGCTTGCCAAGGGACAGACCCAGCAGTTTCCCAGGCATAGTCCTTTAGTGAAATGACACCATTAAATTAATGGGAATGAATGGTTGATGTTTGTTACAGGATGTTGGAGAGCCCATGAAGGGCACCCCATCTTTTGAACCCAGATCAGGCTGAGGGAAAACCCCCTGGGTTGGAGAATTCTGATTGATGGCTTAGTGGCTTCCTATTCACCATATGCTGTCTTCTCACCTGTGATCTGTTGTGGAGTTACGAATCTAAGATTACAGCTCCCTGTGCTCTAGGTTCTTTCTCTGGGGGAGTGTGCAGAGAAACAAATTATTGACTCATTTCTCATAAAAAAATACATGTGGAGCTAGCTGAATCATCTTTGGTGTTCTCAAAATTATGCCAGTGGACTTGTGTGCCAGTGGAGACCACCAAAGAAGGACGTGAGCTGTGTTGGCTTTGCCATCTGTGTGTATGTGTGCAGTGGGGGTGGGGAGTTCTTGAAGTGAAAAGATTGGAGCCACCCAAAGTCTGGGTCAAAAAAGAACTGGGGTAAATTGTTAAAGCCTGCAATTATGAATTCAGCCCTGTGGATATAGCCCATCTCCATGATTTAAGCTGCACAAGTGATCCCTTTGGCTAAACTTGTTTCACTTATGTAGATGGGCTACATTTGCGTCATTCTCCGGTCTGTTGGTAATAATCTGTTTCGGAGGCCGTTTGAGAATATGTTTGCACATTAGTTAAAATGTTCGGAGGATAAAAGGTCTGGAAACAGAGCGAACTAAAGCTTAGAACGGGTATGTCAAAGCAGAAGCTAAATAAGTCTCTTTCAAGTGCTGAGTGGATTGTTGGGCTAGTGTGCTTCGTGTGTTAAAGATTGAATTATTACTGACAAAACAGATTCACTCTCCCGAGGAAACTTATTGCTTACTGCTATTGAAGTGTGGAAATGCAAAGGGGAAAAGGGAGCTGTTATCTCCCAGGTGACAATGCTGGTGCCCTGGAGCCTGAAGGTGGCCAAGAGCTTTTTTCTATCCCTGGCTCTGTAACCTCAGACAGCAGCACAACCAGCTAGTGCCAGTGATGCAGCTGACACTTGCCAAGAGCTCACACTCATGGGAGATACTTACCTTCTAGCAGAACAGGAGCAAAATGTGCCAATGAAAAGATGACAGCATGACAAGTTTTCCTTTATCTTGTGATTTTAACTTTCCAAAACACTCACACAGATCACCTTTATCCTAACTCTGTATGGCAGTGAAGAAGCTGCACTGAACTGGGAGGACGGCAATTTGTTACCCAAGAGGGACTTTGTCACCCAGCTGTGCAACCTTGTGAAAATAACTTCATCGCCCTCAACTTGGTTTGCCTGACCTGTGTGATGAGCCCATCCCAGCTCTAACCTTCTGTGGCTTGAGAGCAGGTATTATCCCGGTTTTGCAGATGAAAGGGACAGTTTGTCCTTTTGCCTGATGGCAGCTGTTTTGAGGTAGTGAAACCGGACTCTAGTCTCCTGACTCCTGGGCTTGTGCTTTCTCCTGCGGGTCATGCTGTCTCTTCAGAGAATCTGGAAGCTGAGGGAACCAAACTATGCATTTCAGTCCCTGGGGCCCTTTCTCTGAATCATTCCCTGGCATGGCTCCTGCTGTTCCCTTCATTTTCGTGGACCTTTCTTACAGCTGAGGGGTGAGAGGTTTGAGTGGTTAGCCTGTGTGGCCCTAACCTGAGGTCACTGGTGCAGGTGTGTGGGGATGGATGGTGAGGGTGGAGGTCAGCACTGACTCCAAGGTGTCATTGCCTACCCTGCTTATCTCTCCTGGGTGAATGGCCTCACCTCTAGGTTCTTCTAGGCTCACTATTCCCTGCTCTTCCAGGCTTTCCTTATCACTGACGCTGAAAGCAAGTTGGACCAACGTTCATTACTTATCCTGTTAACTTATGGCTGTCAGTCCTTACCTGTGGTTCTTTTTAGGTAGATGGCTAGCATTTCAGTTTTCACACAGGTGACTCCTCTTGCTGTCCAGCTGGAAGCAGGTGGGAAGCTGTCAGGTGAAAGTCATGAGATGACCAGGGCTTTTCTTCCCCTTTGAGTTCTAACAATACTGTATAGGCAGTCCTTGTAGCTCATAATAGCAATTTGGTTTTTTAAAATTAGTAGACTTTATTCTTTAGAGCTGTTTTAGTTTATAGAAAAATGCAGTGGGATGTACAGAGACCACCCTCCCCTCCCCTCCTCGCACACAGTTTCCTCTCTATTAACATTTTGCCTTACTGTGGTATACTTGTCATCATTGATGAGCCAATATTAATACATTATTGTTAGCCAAAGTTCATATAGCATATAGCCTATAGTTTACACGAGGGTTCATTCTTTGGATTATATATTCTATGGGTTTGGACAAGTGTGTAATGATGCATATCAACCATTACAGTATCATATAGAGAAGTTTCAGTGCCTTAAACATCCCCTGTGCTCCACGTATTCATCCCCCTACCCCAATTCCTAGCAACCACTGATGTCTTTATAGTTTTGCATTTTCAGAATGTCATAACATAGGAATCACACAGCCTGTAGTCTCTCAGATTGGTTTCTTTCACTTAGCAACATGCATATAGGGTTCTTCCATTTTTTTCATGATAACTTTTTTAAAATTGCAGAATAATATCCTATTGTATGGATGTACCATGATTTATTTAGCAATAGCAATTAAAAATCATCACTCTATAGCACTGGTGATTTCAATTCTGATCAGCACAGGTCTTGTTCTGGGATTTCCTTCTGCTGTGGGTTTGATTGGAGGGTGGACAGGAGGTGAGACCCCAGGATGCAGGCTGACCAGTCTTACCAGCCTGTGGTAGCACCTGGGTAAAAGCAACATTTCTCACAAGTCATTATGTCTGATAGTAAAATGGACAGAAAAACTAAGTTGTACCATAGTGTCCTCATATTTCCTTCTTTTTTCCTTGGCATTTCTATCTTTCATGTTTGTGCTGAGTATTTCTTCTATCCAATTATTTTGGAAAAAAGAGGACAAAATCAGACACACAGTAGTTTTCACTCCTGTGTCTTGTTAGCAGCAGGAAGTGCTGCGGATGAGTGCATTTCTCTTTTGATGAGTGTGACTTGCCAGTAGTGGCCAGGGGCTGAGTCTGTTTTCAGTGATGTTTGTGATGTTGCCGCTGCCTCCATGCTAGAAACATTGTCTAGAACTTTTCCTTTGATTTATTTTATCAGTCTTTCTCCTGACTTGTGCTCACAGTGAGTGAAGGATTGTGGAGGAGACATGCCTCTTGTTAAAGCAGAGGCTTCACATGGAAGACGGGACTGTAGATGCTGTGCCTTGCACACGCACCGGAGTCATGATCCTACCTGGGGTGTGTACGTGTGGGAGCTGGGGAGTGGCTAGGGGACCATTTCTAACAGCAGGAAGTCGATCCTGCCTGGCTTCCAGGAAGCAGTGATTAACCGTGAAACTGTGATTCTAGAGTTAAAAAAAATGTAAAACCTAAAAACAAATCACTCTGAGGCAATGCAAGAGTTCAACCATTGTAGAAGATTCCTCATGGCAATTCCTCAAGGATCTAGAACCAGAAATACCATTTGACCCAGCAATCCCATTACTGGGTATATACCCAAAGGATTATACATCATTCTACTATAAAGACACAGGCACACATATGTTTATTGCAGCACTGTTCACAATAGTAAAGACTTGGAACCAACCCAAATTCCCATCAATGATAGACTGGATAAAGAAAATGTGGCACATATACACCATGGAATACTATGCAGCCATAAAAAAGGATGAGTTCATGTCTTTTGCAGGGACATGGATGAAGCTGGAAACCATCATTCTCAGCAAACTAACACAGGAACGGAAAACCAAACACTGCATGTTCTCACTCATAAGTGGGAGTTGAACAATGAAAACACATAGACACAGAGGGGAACATCACACACCAGGGCCTGTTGGGGGTTGTGGGGGTAGGGGAGGGATAGCATTAGGAGAAATACCTAATGTAGATGATGGGTTGATGGGTACAGCAAACCACTATGGCACGTGTATACCTATGTAACAAACCTGCATGTTCTGCATGTGTATCCCAGAGCTTAAAGTATGATTAAAAAAAAAGAGTTTAGCACTGGGGAGCAGAATACACTCACTCAGCTGCTGTGTCTGACTCCCCTCTGTTGACTCACCATCCTTCTCTCCCAGGATGCTCTCTGGCCAATCCAAGTTCTACTTCTCTTTTAGTTCCCTACCAACTTTTCTTGGCTCCTCTTTCAGATTGGTCCTTCTTCAAAGAAATGTAATTGACTTAGATGGCAGGGGATAGGCATACAACTCCCCAAGGAGCCCCTGGTCTAGTAGGGGCCACAGATAATAGACCTTGGCAGAGAATGTGAGGGGCATTCTAGGGGTCAGTTCAAGGTGTTACAGCCTACAACAGGGAGCACTTAGCCTTGTGGGAGAATCCAGGGAGGCTTCCTGGCAGAGATGACTAGGTTTAGTCTGGTGAGGAGGAAGTAGAGCATTTCTGGGAGAGGAAAGAACATGTGCAAAGGGCTGTGCTATAAGGGATGAGCAAGACATTCATTGTGTTCAAATCAGAGTTAGCACTGGGGGAGGGAAGAAGGCCAAGTCCAGTGATAAAGAATCCTAGAGTCTTGCCAAGGAGTTTACAGTTTATCATGTGGGCACAAAGAAGCCATCATGGACTTCCATTAGGGTGGGATCTCATCTGATTTTTGTTTTTGAAGGTGTACCTAGGAAGCAGTGGTGAGAATGAGTTAGGGAAATAACGTGTCCCTGCTTTCCCTCCTCCCATTCCTTGAACCTACTGTGATTGGGCTGTCACCTCCACTAGTGCACTGAACCCCATTCCCCCAACTCCTGTTCCTCTGCCCCTCAGTCCTAATACCTGGCCAAACTCCTCTCCACTTGGACTCTATTTTCTGCGTCCGCTAGGCTGTGCCCTAGTCCCTGAATGTGACTGGAGAATGTGAGTGGAGAACTCCATCATTGTGCAGATTGACTTCAGCTCACGTGGAATTCCCCCTGAATTTTCCCAGGCTGTGTTCTCCAACAAGGCAAACCTTCATAGCTTCTCCTCTCTCCTCAGACTGACAACACCCAGCTCGTACTCTCCCCTGATCCTCTTGCTTCTTATTCATTGACAAAAGAGGAGTGATAAAAAGAGAACTTGGCTAGGCGCAGTGGCTCATGCCTGTAATCCCAGCACTTTGGGAGGCTGAGGCGAGCAGGACACCTGAGGTCAGGAGTTCCAGACCAGCCTGGCTAACATAGTGAAACTCGGTCTCTACTAAAAATACAAAAATTAACCGGGCATGGTGGCAAGCACCTCTAGTCCCAGCCACTCAGTAGGCTGAGGCAGGAGAATTGCTTGAACCCGGGAGGTGGAGGTTGCAGAGAGCTGAGATCGCACCACTGCACTCCAGCCTGGGTGACAGAGCGCGACTCCATCTCAAAAAAAAAGAAAAAAAAAAAGAAAAGAAAATAACTTACATATACTCCCATAACTAAATCCACTTTGTGGCCTGCACCCACCCCACGTACTCTGCTTCCCTCCTTCTCGTGGGTCAGGTTCTGTGCTGAATTCATTTCCTCTTGCCCACTCCTCACTTGTTTCCTTTCTCATATGATCAAGGAATATTTCCCTTCTTTATAAAGCTCTCTCCACATACCCCAGCTGCTGCCCCATTTTCCTGCTTCTTTAACTGAAAGACTCCTAGAAAGAGTTCTCTGTACTTGTTGTTTCTGCTTTTTCTCTTCTCTTTCTTGCACTTATTCTGATCAGGTTTTCAACCTTGTCACTCTATTGAAACTGTAACTGTTGTTGTCAAAGGTGCCAGTGATGTCCATGTAGCCAAATCTAATGGTCAGATCTCAGTTCTCATCTCATTCTCCATGTTGGCAACGTTAGACCTAGCAGCCTCTCATCTCACACAATAAAATCCACAATGGTGGCCTATCAGGCACTCCATAGTCTGTTCCTTGGCTGCCTTATTCTGTTTCAGGTGCCATGGCCTCTTGCTGGCCTTGGGGTACTTGCTGTTCCCTCTGCCTGGAATATTCTTCCCCTAAATGGCCTTTCTTCTCACTTCATTGAGGTGTTTGCTCAACGTTACATGATTAGAGTGGCTTTCCCTGAGAACCCTACTACAAATTTCTATCCTTTTACTGTTTTCATAGCACTAATCATAATCTGATATAGGCTTTGTTATAGCTAATCTCCTTTCAGTAGAATTTTTTGAAACTTTAAAAAACTGAGGTACAAAATATATACAGTCAAGTGTGATAAAAATACATTAAAGTATACAGCTTAGTGAATTTTTACAAATGTATACTTGCACATAACCACTACTTAGATCAAAACATCGGATTTCTCCAGCACCCTAGAAGGTTCTCCTCCATTTTATCCTAGACTACCCTCCACTGAAATAACCATTATTCTGACTTCTATCGCCATAGATTAGTTTTACCTATTCTTGAAGTACAGATAAGTGGAATGATTCAGTGTGTAATCTTTTTGTACCTGGCTTCTCTCAGCACAATGGCTGTAAGCCTCAACCATATTGAGTGTGTCAGTAGCTTGCTCACTTTTACTGGCGTGTAGTATTAATTGTTTCAGTTGTATAATGCTGCATAAGAAACCACCCTAAAACTTAGTGGTTTAATAAAATAAACATTTTGTTGCATAATTATTCTGTTGAAATTTGGGCTTGGCTCAGCTGGGCAGTTCTTCTTTTGACAAACATAGGTACCTCATAATTGGAATTCTACCATATTTGTCCTTTTGTAACTGGCTTATTTCACTTAGCATAATGTCATCAAGGTTTATTCATGTTGTGTCAGAATTTGCTTCCTTTTTAAGGATGAATGATATTTCATTGTGAGTATATACCACATTTTGTTTATCCATTCACCCATCAGTGGATATGAGTTGCTTCTACTTTTGGCGATTATGAATAATGTTGCTGTGAACACTGGAGTACAAATATCTCTGTTCAAGTCCCTGCTTTTAATTCTTTTGGGTATATATATATAGAAGTAGAATTGCTGAGTCATATGATAATTCTATTTTTAGTTTCTTAGGGAACTACTATACTGTTTTGCATAGCAGCTTTACCATTTTACATTCCCACCAACAGTGCTCAAGGTTCCCTTTTTTCCACATCCTTGCTAACCCTTGTTATTTTCTGTATATAGCCATCTTAATGGATGAGAGTAGCCATCTAATATGTGTAATTTGGATTCTTTATAAACAATAGATTCTGAGAACTTTGAGATCATTTTATTAGTTTTTCTTCTTCCTCATGTATCTAAATGTAGGCAATGGCACATTCTCAGAGGTAGGAAAATGACACTGGAAGTTATAGAAGCCACTGGAAGAGAAAGTTGCAGCAAAGGAGGAATGATCTGCTGAAGGGCCTTGCAGGACTCATACGTGCTGAGGAAACTTCTGAGCACAATTTGATTAGGAGAATTGTAGGAGGCTTCCAGAAAAAAGCAAAAAACACCTGTTGAGGAAGGTGTTGAAAGAGGGGTGGAACTTTGCTGAGTGGGAAACGGGAGGACCACATGAGGGCAGGAAAGGCTAGGCACAGGCATTGTATGTGGGGCTAGGGGAGAAGGAGATTTTCTTTGGTTTAATCTTTATTTGTGAAGGAAGACAAATGTTAGTGAAAAATAGCTTGGCCATTTGCTTGTTGTTCGTGAAGCTCTTAACCCAGTTAAACTATTGAAAGGGCAATAGGAGCTCTGTGATCTGGCTCTGATAGAAGAGAACAATGATTGGGAGTCTGTGTCAGAGCCATGCAGACATCTTATGATTTCTTACGTTATCATTCAATATTTAGCTCTGGAGTCTATAAATGTTAACTTACAAGGAAGAGTGCTTTAGACTTATTGGTGAAATATCGTGCCTCAGGGATGTGCTTCCAAGTGAAGACAGACTTAGTGTTAGCCTCTGGATAATCTTTACAAGAAGAATTGTTTAATTCCAATTTTTCATTTCAGTTTTTCATGTTACCTTTAAAAAATTTAGAAATTATAGATGTAGAAATAAAGAAATAAGGATTGCCCATGATTTTATCTTAACATTTTGGCATATATTGTCTGTCTTTTTTTTCTTCATATATAAAGCATATATATATGTTTATATATTTTATTAAAATGGTATTACACTGTATGTAGTGAGTTGTCCATTTTATTATCTCAACAATAGATTTTCCCTTTTTATGACATTAAAAATTCTTTTATAGCAGAAACTTAAATGATTATACAGTAGTTCATTGTATGGACATATCAAAATTTGGCATTTAGGTTTTTCCTTTTTTTAACTTTTTTATCACAATAATGAAACAGTATGTCTTTGTAAATAAATTTGTGTCACAGTTCTGATTATTTCTTTTAAAGTGTTTAAAACAGAAATATGCTTTTTAATGAATTCTAACAAAGCAAGCATCTATGTAGCCATCATCCAGGTCAAGAAATAGAATGTAACCAACTCCCAGACATCCCTCATCGTTCCTAGTCACTTCTCCCTTGCTCCTCCCCCAGAGCAACTTGATTTCTAACGCTAGAGTTTTTATTTTGCCTATTTCTGATCTTCATATAAATTAAATAGGACAATGATGCATTCTTTTATGTTATCTCATTTTGTTCAGTACTGCTTTTGAGAGATTCAGGAATGCTTTTGAGTCCATCAGTAGTTAGTTCATTGTTATTGTTTGTAATCTCTTGTGTGAACATACTTCAATTTGTTAATCCAATCTACTGTTGATGTTCATTTAGGTTGTTTTTTAAATGAATATTATTCATACTCTTAATACCCTGATTTCTGTTAGAAAGAGTAGAATTGCTGGGCTATACGTGTATGTATATTGTTTGGTAAATACTGCCAAACAGCTGTCCAAAGTGGTTGCATTGAGTGCTTTGCACAAAGTGGTTGCAATACATGAGAGTTTCCACTGCTTTACTTCCTTGCCAACACTGATGTTTCCAGTTTGCTTAATTCTACCTAATCCAATGAGTTTTTAGTTGTTCCTCATTCTAGTTTTGATATATATTTTTTGAATGACTAAAGAGATTTAGCATCGTTTCATAAATTTTTGCTGGGAGTGAGCATCTTTGGTTACTCTCTTTTATGAAGTGCTTGTGCGGTCTCCTTTTCTACACATAATACATTTTTTATTAAAAAATTGATTTGTAGAAGTTCTTTATATAGTCTGGATATGAACCCTTTATGGGTTATATGTGCTGTAAATATTTTTTTCCCTACTGTGTGTTTTTCCTATTTTCTCTTTTTAGGATGCATTTTGATGAGCAAAAGTTCTTAATTTAGAGAAATATATCAATTTTTCATTTATGTGCTTTTGTGTCTTGTTTAAATTTTGTACTTTCAAGTTCAAGATATTTTCCCATATAATCTTCCGCTAGTTTTATTGTTTTCCATTCACATTTAGATCTGAAATCCACTTAGACTGATTATCGTGTATGCTATGAAATAGAGATCAAGTTTTATTTTTTCCTCAGATGGGTATCCAGTTGACCTAGTATCATTTATTTGAAAATGCCATCCTTTCTTCACTTGTCTTCAGTCCAGTCTTTCACTTAATTAGTGTCTTTATAGGCCTGGATCTTTCTCAGGACTCAATTCTTTTTCACTGATTTGTTTGTATATTACCGCACCAATATCACATTGTGTTAATCAATGTAGTTTTGTAATGAATTTTAACGTTTTTATTTCTCCCTTAAATATTTAGAAGAATTCACCAACTGAGGCAATCTGGGCTTGGAATTTTCCATTTTGGATTTAATTATTTAAATAATCAAAGATCCATTCAAATTTTCTGTTACTTCTGGAGTCAATTTCTGTAAGCTGAATTTTTCTAGAAATATTTCTATTGTACTTAAAGTTTCAGAGTTACTGATATACAATTGTTCATAAGTAATGTCTCTTTATCTTTTAATGTCTGTAAGATATGTAGTGATGCTGTTTTCTTTTTTTCATTCCTCATATTGATTATATTTGCTCATCTTCATTATCTCTCTTATTCGCTCTTTCTTCCCCCTCTACAATCAGTATTGCCAATTTACTAACTTTATTATTAAATGTTTCCAAAGAAACAACTTTTATTTTAGAATTTTGGAATTTTTAATCTTTCTGCTAATTTGAACCTTAACATTGTGAAGTGTGTCTATCTAGTAATAATTTTTCTTTAAAGTCTACTTTGTGTGATATTAATAGAGCAACACCAGCTTTGATTTGTTTTTAGTGTTTACATGGTATATTTTTCTATCCCTTAACATAAACCTTGCTATATTCTTGTATTTTAGATATATCTCTTCTAAGAAGCCTATTTTTTAAATCCACTCTGACACACTTGTCTTTAATTTGAAGGATTTAATTCATCACCTTTATTACATTTGATGTGATATCTTAGTTTCTATCTTCTGTCTTGCTATTTGCTCTTAGTTGTTTCACTTTTTCTCTTTTTCTCCTCTCCTCTTTTATCTTCTTTTGGGATTGATTATTTTGTATTATTCACCTTTCTGTTAACTTTCTATATTATTTTACTACACTTTGGGTGGGCACTCTGAAAAATACAATTCTATTGTAAATTAGTACTTGTACCCCTTCCTAGATATTGCAAGGATTTTAGAATGCTTTAAACTCTTTTACTTTCTTATATGTTATTATTTTCAAGCATATATATACTATATGTATATTCATTGTTGTCTTATGCATCGATACGTATATCTGTTTCCTCTTTCATTGTTCCTCATCCCTTCAATCATCTTCTACCTTCCATCTGGTAAATTTTTCTTTCTGCCTGAGGAACACCCTTTAGCATTTATTTAGTCTGCTGGTGACCAATTCTCATATTTTGTTTGTCTGAAAAATACCTTTATTTTGTTTTAATTCTTGAAAGATATTTGCACTGGTGTGATTGGATTCATGATTGCTTATTATTTTCTTTTTCTTTTTTCTTTTTTGAGACAGAGTCTCGCTGTCGCCCAGGCAGGAGTGCAGTGGCCCGATCTAGGCTCACTGCAGGCTCCGTCCCCCGGGGTTCACGCCATTCTCCTGCCTCAGCCTTCCAAGTAGCTGGGACTACAGGCGCCCACCACCTCGCCTGGCTAATTTTTTGTATTTTTAGTAGAGACGGGGTTTCACTGTGTTAGCCAGGATGGTCTCCATCTCCTGACCTCGTGATCCGCCTGCCTCGGCCTCCCAAAGTGCTGGGATTATCCGCACCCGGCCAATTGCTAATTATTTTCTTTAGGTAATTTGAATATATTTTTCCATAGTTCATCAGACTTCTATTATTTCTTTTGATAATTTAGCTCTTAGTTTAATTGTTGTCCATCGTAGGAATTCTTTTTCTCTGGTGCTTTTAAGATTTATTCTCTTTCTTCCTTTCTCCTCCTCTTCCTCCTTCTCTTTCATCTCTTCTAGTAGTTTTATTATCCTATACCTAGATATGGCCACCATCTGTCAGACCTCGTAGATAATAGATAATTAATGCATTGGGTAAGATATAACGAAACAGCAGGGGATAGTGCAGACTTGGGAGCTAGTAACAGCAGAAGCCTGGATCAGGATTAGAGTTAGGGGCTTTATCACCCCTAACATGAAAGGGAAGGGGAGCTTTTACTAATAGCTAGAAGCAGAGAGATAGTGTGAAGAAAGTTACTTTATACGAATTTATATTTTGGTCAAGGGATGCAGGCATCCTATGGTGACTTGTTGGAGGCACCTGGGGAAATAAATACCGTAATCTCATTGACCTTTCTTCTCCTTCCAAACTTCTTTTAGTTCTCCTCATTGGTGATCTGAGATACCAAGCAAAGTGTAGATTTAGAGGAGCACATGGGGTTTATAGGAATCCTTACATCTGTGGTTCAGGTGTCAGCAAACCTTTTCTGTAAAGGGGCAAATAATTTGTTTAGGCTGTGTGTGCCACATGTGGTCTCTCCTCCTTTCCTCCCCTCTTCTTCTTTCATGACCCTTTAATGATGTAAACAAACAAACAAACAAACAAACAAACAAAAAACATTCTTAGCTCACAAGTCATACCGAAACAGGCCACTGGCAAAATTTGGCTGACCCCTGGTGTAGTGGGAGGGCTCATTTTTTGCCGGGATCAGTTTTGGAGAATTCTCTGCTACTATCTCTTTATAACTTTATCTCCTTATAACTTGACATTCTCTTTGCTCCGGAATTCCAAGGACACCCCGGTTGACTCTTTGCACTCTATCCCCTGTGTCTATCTTACAGTCTGTTGTATTTTTTAACCTTTTCTCTTCCCATGCTTCCCTCTGGATATTTTTTTCTGACTCATCTCCCAGTTTCCTGATACTCTTCAGTTTGGCTAATTACTTCTAAACTCATCCAGTGCATTCTTAATTTTGGTTATTGTGTTATTCAGAGTTAGAATTGTCAAATGGCTTATTTTATAGTTTTAAGTTTTCAGCAGAAATTCTTGATTTTTCCTTTTATCTCATAAAGTATGTTAAGGATAATTATTTAATGTCTACATTCAATAACTCCATAATCTGAACTCTCTGTGGGTTTCATCCTATAGTATTCTATTGTTTCTCTTAGTTTTCCCACAGATTGCTTTATCTCTTCATGTGCTAGTTATTTTGGATTGTGTACTGGACATTCTACATGAAATTTCAAAAAAATGTTTTGGGCCCTAGGATGGTGTATATATATATGTGTGTGTGTATATATATATATATACACACACACACATATATATATACACGTATACATGTATACATATATACATGTATACATACGTATATATATGTGTGTGTGTGTATATATATACGTATACATATATATTTTGAACATTGATGCTAAAATTCTTTTTTTATTATTATTATACTTTAAGTTCTAGGGTACATGTGCGCAACGTGCAGGTTTGTTACATATGTGTACATGTGCACAACGTGCAGGTTTGTTACATACGTGTACATGTGCCATGTTGGTGTGCTGCACCCATTAACTCATCATTTACATTAGGTATATCTCCTAATGCTATCCCCCCCCACTCCCCCCACCCCACAACAGGCCCCAGTGTGTGCTGTTCCCCTTCCTGTGTCCTAGTGTTCTCATTGTTCAATTCCCACCTATGAGTGAGAACATGTGGTGTTTGGTTTTTTGTCCTTGTGATAGTTTGCTGAGAATGATGGTTCTAGCTTCATCCATGTCCCTACAAAGGACATGAACTCATCCTTTTTATGGCTGCATAGTATTCCGTGGTGTATATATGCCACATTTTGTTAATCCAGTCTATCATTGATGGACATTTGGGTTGGTTCCAAGTCTTTGCTATTGTGAATAGCGCCGCAATAAACATACGTGTACATGAGTCTTTATAGCAGCATGATTTATAATCCTTTGGATATATACCTAGTAATGGGATGGCTGGGTCTAATGGTATTTCTAGTTCTAGATCCCTGAGGAATCGCCACACTGACTTCCACAATGGTTGAACTAGTTTACAGTCCCACCAACAGTGTAAAAGTGTTCCTATATCTCCACATCCTCTCCAGCACCTGTTGTTTCCTGACTTTTTAATGATCGCCATTCTAACTGGTGTGGGATGGTATCTCATTGTGGTTTTGATTTGCATTTCTCTGATGGCCAGTGATGATGAGCATTTTTTCATGTGTCTTTTGGCTGCATAAATGTCTTCTTTTGAGAAGTGTCTGTTCATATCCTTTGTTCACTTTTTGATGGGGTTGTTTGTTTTTTTCTTGTAAATTTGTTTGAGTTCATTGTAGATTCTGGATATTAGCCCTTTGTCAGATGAGTAGATTGCAAAAATGTTCTCCCACTCTGTAGGTTGCCTGTTCACTCTGATGGTAGTTTCTTTTGCTGTGCAGAAGCTCTTTAGTTTGATTACATCCCATTTGTCAATTTTGTCTTTTGTTGCCATTGCTTTTGGTGTTTTATACATGAAGTCCTTGCCCATGCCTACGTCCTGAATGGTATTGCCTGGGTTTTCTTCTAGGGTTTTTATGGTTTTAGGTCTAACATATAAGTCTTTAATCCATCTTGAATTAATGTTCATATAAGGTATAAGGAAGGGATCCAGTTTCAGCTTTCTACATATGGCTAGCCAGTTTTCCCAGCACCATTGATTAAATAGGGAATCCTTTCCCCATTTCTTGTTTTTGTCAGGTTTGTCAAAGATCAGATGGTTGTAGATTTGTGGTATTATTTCTGAGGGCTCTGTTCTGTTCCATTGATCTATATCTCTGTTTTGGTACCAGTACCATGCTGTTTTGGTTACTGTAGCCTTGTAGTATAGTTTGAAGTCAGGTAGCGTGATGCCTCCAGCTTTGTTCTTTTGCCTTAGGATTGACTTGGCAATGTAGGCTCTTTTTTTGTTCCATATCAACTTTAAAGTAGTTTTTTCCAATTTTGTGAAGAAAGTCATTGTTAGCTTGATGGGGATGGCATTGAATCTATAAATTACCTTGGGCAGTATGACCATTTTCATGATACTGATTCTTCCTATCCATGAGCATGGAATGTTCTTCCATTTGTTTGTGTCCTCTTTTATTTCATTGAGCAGTGGTTTGTAGTTCTCCTTGAAGAGGTCCTTCACATCCCTGGTAAGTTGGATTCCAGGTATTTTATTCTCTTTGAAGCAATTGTGAATGGGATTTCACTCATGATTCGGCTCTCTGTTTGTCTGTTAGTGGTGTATAAGAATGCTTGTGATTTTTGCACATTGATTTTGTATCCTGAGACTTTGCTGAAGTTGCTTATCAGCTTAAGGAGATTTTGGGCTGAGATGATGGGGTTTTTCTAGATATACAATCATGACATCTGCAAACAGGGACAATTTGACTTCCTCTTTTTCTAATGAATACTCTTTATTTCTTTCCCCTGCCTGATTGCCCTGGCCACAACTTCCAACACTATGTTGAATAGGAGTGGTGAGAGAGGACATCCCTGTCTTGTGCCAGTTTTCAAAGGGAATGCTTCCAGTTTTTGCCCATTCAGTATGATATTGGCTGTGGGTTTGTCATAGATAGCTCTTATTATTTTGAGATACATCCCATCAATACCTAATTTATTGGGTTTTTAACATGAAGGGTTGTTGAATTTTGTCAAAGGTCTTTTCTGCATCTATTGAGATAATCATGTGGTTTTTGTCTTTGGTTCTGTTTATATGCTGGATTATGTTTATTGGTTTGGGTATGTTGAACCAGCCTTGCATCCCAGGGATGAAGCCAACTTGATCATAGTGGATAAGCTTTTTGATGTGCTGCTGGATTTGGTTTGCCAGTATTTTATTGAGGATTTCTGCATCAGTGTTCATCAAGGATATTGGTCTAAAATTCTCTTTTGTTGCTGTGTCTCTGCCAGGCTTTGGTATGAGGATGATGCTGGCCTCATAAAATGAGTTAGGGAGGATTCCCTCTTTTTCTTTACATTGGAATAGTTTCAGAAGGAATGGTACCAGCTCCTCCTTGTACCTCTGGTAGAATTTGGCTGTGAACCCATCTGGTCCTGGACTTTTTTTGATTGGTAAGCTATTAATTATTGCCTCAATTTCAGAGCCTGTTATTGGTCTATTCAGAGATTCCATTTCTTCCTGGTTTAGTCTTGGGAGGGTGTATGTGTCCAGGAATTTATCCATTTCTTCTAAATTTTCTAGTTTATTTGTGTAGAGGTGTTTATAGTATTCTCTGATGGTAGTTTGTATTTCTGTGGGATCGGTGGTGATATCCCCTTTATCATTTTTTATTGTGTCTATTTGATTCTTCTCCCTTTTCTTCTTTATTAGTCTTGCTAGCAGACTATCAATTTTGTTGATCTTTTCAAAAAACCAGCCCCTGGATTCATTGATTTTTTGAAGGGTTTTTTGTGTCTCTATTTCCTTCAGTTCTGCTCTGATCTTAGTTATTTCTTGTCTTCTGCTAGCTTTTGAATGAGTTTGCTCTTGCTTCTCTAGTTCTTTTAATTGTGATGTCAGGGTGTCAATTTTAGATCTTTCCTGCTTTCTCTTGTGGGCATGTAGTGCTATAAATTTCCCTCTACACACTGCTTTGAATGTGTCCCAGAGATTCTGGTATGTTGTGTCTTTGTTCTCATCGGTTTCAAAGAACATCTTTATTTCTGCCTTCATTTCATTATGTACCCAGTAGTCATTCAGGAGCAGGTTGTTCAGTTTCCATGTAGTTTGAGCGGTTTTGAGTGAGTTTCTTAATCCTGAATTCTAGTTTGATTGCTCTGTGGTGTGAGAGACAGTTTGTTGTGATTTCTGTTCTTTTACATTTGCTGAGGAGTGCTTTACTTCCCACTATGTGGTCAATTTTGGATTAGGTGTGTTGTGGTGCTGAAAAGAATGTATATTCTGTTGATTTGGGGTGGAGAGTTCTGTAGATGTCTATTAGGTCTGCTTGGGGCAGAGCTGAGTTCAATTCCTGGATATCCTTGTTAACTTTCTGTCTTGTTGATCTGTCTAATGTTGACAGTGGGGTGTTAAAGTCTCCCACTATTATCGTGTGGGAGTCTAAGTCTCTTTGTAGATCTCTCAGGACTTGCTTTATGAATCTGGGTGCTCCTGTGTTGGATGCATATATATTTAGGATAGTTAGCTCTTCTTGTTGAATTGATCCCTTTACCATTATGTAATGACCTTCTTTGTCTCTTTTGATCTTTGTTGCTTTAAAGTTTGTTTTATCAGAGACTAGGATTGCAACCCCTGCCTTTTTTTGTTCTCCGTTTTCTTGGTAGATCTTCCTCCATCCCTTTATTTTGAGCCTATGTGTGTCTCTGCATGTGAGATGTGTTTCCTGAATACAACACACTGATAGGTCTTGACTCTTTGTCCAATTTGCCAGTCTGTGTCTTTTAATTGGAGCATTTAGCCCATTTACATTTAAAGTTAATATTGTTATGCAGTATTTGGTCCTGTCATTGTGATGTTAGCTGGTTATTTTGCTCATTAGTTGATGCAGTTTCTTCCTAGCCTTGACAGTCTTTACAACTTGGCATGTTTTTGCAGTGGCTGGTACCGGTTGTTCCTTTCCATGTTTAGTGCTTCCTTCAGGAGCTCTTTTAGGGCAGGCCTGGTGGTGACAAAATCTCTCAGCATTTGCTTGTCTGTAAAGGATTTTATTTCTCCTTCACTTATGAAGCTTAGTTTGGCTGGATATGAAATTCTGCGCTGAAAATTCTTTTCTTTAAGAATGTTGAATATCGGCCCCCACTCTCTTCTGGCTTGTAGAATTTCTGCCGAGAGATCAGCTGTTAGTCTGATGGGCTTCCCTTTGTGGATAACCCGATCATTCTCTCTGGCTGCCCTTAACATTTTTTCCTTCATTTCAACGTTGGTGAATCTGACAATTATGTGTCTTGGAGTTGCTCTTCTCGAGGAGTATCTTTGTGGCATTCCCTGTATTTCCTGAATCTGCATGTTGGCCTGTCGTGCTAAATTGGGGAAGTTCTCCTGGATAATATCCTGCAGAGTGTTTTCCAACTTGGTTCCATTCTCCCTGTCACTTTCAGGTACACCAATCAGACGTAGATTTGGTCTTTTCACATAGTCCCATATTTCTTGGAAGCTTTGTTCATTTCTTTTTATTCTTTTTTCTCTAAACTTACCTTCTCGCTTCGTTTCATTCATTTCATCTTCCATCACTGATACCCTTTCTTCCAGTTGATTGCATTGGCTCCTGAGGCTTCTGCATTCTTCACGTAGTTCTGGAGCCTTGGCTTTCAGCTGCATCAGCTCCTTTAAGGACTTCTCTGCGTTGGTTATTCTAGTTTTCCATTCGTCTAATTTTTTTTCAAAGTTTTTAACTTGTTTGCCATTGGTTTGAATTTCCTCCTGTAGCTCGGAGTAGTTTGATCGTCTGAAGCCTTCTTCTGTCAGCTAATCAAAGTCATTCTCCGTCCAGCTTTGTTCCGTTGCTGGTGAGGAGCTGTGTTTCTTTCGAGGAGGAGAGGCACTCTGCTTTTTAGAGTTTCCAGTTTTTCTGCTCTATTTTTTCCCCATATTTGTGGTTTTATCTACTTTTGGTCTTTGATGATGGTGATGTACGGAAGGGTTTTTGGTGTGGATGTCTTTTCTGTTTGTTAGTTTTCCTTCTAACAGACAGAACCCTCAGGTCTGTTGGAGTTTGCTAGAGGTCCACTCCAGATGCTGTTTGCCTGGGTATCAGCAGCGGTGGCTGCAGAACAGCGGTGGCTGTAGAACAGCGGTGGCTATAGAACAGCAGATATTGGTGAACCGCAAATGCTGCTGCCTGATCGTTCCTCTGGGAGTTTTGTCTCAGAGGAGTACCCGACCTTGTAAGGTGTCAGTCTGCCCCTACTGGGGGGTGCCTCCCAGTTAGGCTGCTCAGGGGTCAAGGACCCACTTGAGGAGGCAGTCTTCCAGTTCTCAGATCTCCAGCTGCGTGCTGGGAGAACCACTACTGTCTTCAAAGCTGTCAGACAGGGATATTTAAGTCTGCAGAGGTTACTGCTGTCTTTTTGTTTGTCTGTGCCCTGCCCCTAGAGGTGGAGCCTACAGAGGCAGGCAGGCCTCCTTGAGCTGTGGTGGGCTCCACCCAGTTCGAGGTTCCTGGCTGCTTTGTTTACCTAATCAAGCCTGGGCAATGGCAGGCGCCCCTCCCCCAGCCTCGCTGCCACCTTGCAGTTTGATCTCAGACTGCTGTGCTAGCAATGAGCGAGACTCCATGGGCGTAGGACCCTCCGAACCAGGTGCCGGATATAATCTCCTGGTGTGCCGTTTTTTAAGCCCGTTGGAAAAGCGCACTATTAGGGTGGGAGTGACCCGATTTTCCAGGTGCTGTCTGTCACCCCTTTCTTTGACTAGGAAAGGGAACTCCCTGACCCTTTGTGCTTCCCGAGTGAGGCGATGCCTCACCCTGCTTCGGCTCGTGCACAATGCAGTGCACCCACTGTTCTGCACCCACTGTCTGGCACTCCCTAGTGAGATGAACACAGTACCTCAGATGGAAATGCAGAAATCACCTGTCTTCTCCGTCGCTCACGCTGGGAGCTGTAGACCAGAGCTGTTCCTATTCGGCCATCTTGGCTGCCACCCTCAAAAATCTTAATCATCAATTATGGTTTAAGCTCAGGGGTTCCTTTACTCGAGATACTTTTTCTGATTCCTCTGAGCCAGGTATAATATATTTTTCTATTCAGCCCCCACAGCATATTACTTACACTTGGATTATAGATACATTCTGTCTTTTACTACAGATCCATGGTCCATTATACACAATCCCCAAATCCCAAAAGCTGAGAAACATGAATGTAACCTATTTAGTGGCAAAATCTCTGTTGGCCTGACTGTACTTGAAGATACCTGACCTGAGTTGATGTTTACTACTTAGGGTCTTGACATATCTCACTTAGTCTGAATATTCATACATTTCTCTGCAAAAATATTCCTATGCTTGAGGACAGGGTGCTGCCCAATTCTGTTTAGGGGTATTTGGTAGTATATGATAAATGGACCCTATTAGCTATCTGAATTCTGCAGCCTTTCTGGGCCTAAGGCATTTGGGTAAGGTGTTTTGGGTCTGCTTAAATATTAAGAGTTGTGTGTGTACTGTAAGTTTAGGAAGCACATCTTAATCCTCATGCTTTCCAGGCCTGGAGATAGGGGTTTATTTTTTCCCACAGCATTAGAATCCATTGGCAGACAATTGCTGTGTTAATTTAGTGGCTTAAGTTTATCTGGGCCAAGATTTCTGTGATTCTCTCATTCTTTCATGCAGTCACAGAATGGCTGCTCCAGTTCTAGTCATCAAGTTTATGTTCCAAGGGGAAAAAAGGAAGAATGGCAAAAGGCAGAAAAATATAAGCCTCTTGAATCTGTTCCTCTTTTAAAGATTTTTTGGAAGCCTGTCCAGTGACTTCTACTTAATATCTCAGTGGTCAGAATTGTGTGATATTGTCACCTCTCTGTGTAAGAGAATGGAAGGAATATAGTTCTTAGCTTGGTAGATGGTGCCCCACCAAAATAGAGATTCTTTAGCAAGAAGGAATGGGAAATGGATATTGGGTAGACAATTAGAAGACTTGGCTAATGTTTTTTGAGAACTTAAGTGTTTAATAAGTGCTAAATACTTTATACATCTCAACTCTTGAACTCCTCATAAGAATCTAATGAATCTGGCATATCATCATTCCATTTTTATACGTGAGGAAACAGAGGCTCAGAAAGGTTTTCATCTGCCCAAGTCTACTCTAACAGTCATCTTGGGGTGGGATTTGAATACAGGCTTGTTTGATTCTAGCATATACTTTCAACTGGTGTGCTGCACATCTACTGGGGTATAACATTGAAAAGTTAGGTAGAAGCCAGATTTTGAAGGGCGTTGACTACAAAAATTGAGTTTAGACTGACCCCTGGCCTACATAATTATTTTCTAAACGATTACAATTATGTTTTTGTGCTAACCAGATCCTTTGTCTTCACACTATGAAGTTCTTCCCCTTTTTGTTGAACCTGGTGCTTTTCTCTAGCAAGAACTTAGAAGGGGGCCTATCCTTTAAGACCCTGCACAGACTACCATCTCCTTGAAGACTCTCTTAGGCTGGATTGGTGACTTTCTTTTTTGCATTCCTACAATATTCTTTACACAAACCAAAATATTTTTATGTTGTATAATCTTCTTACATGATTAATTATGACTCAACTCAATTTGACTAGTGAGAAGGGATTGTGTCTTATTCCTTTGCAAGTTGTGGCACTTAGCACAGTTGCTGGCACACAATAGGCATTCAGATATTGATGGAATGAGGAAAACAATGAATGGGTGAATCAAGATCACATGAGATAGTAAGAAAAAACAAGTCTACAGAAAATATCTTTTTATTTTAATTATAATGCTGAACAATTAGTGGTATCATCATTTGAGTATGATTAATACCAACTATTCATGAATGGAAGTCTAGTATGTTTATAGGAGAATGTCAGAATGTCAGCAATTTTGTGTTTTGAGTTAGTTAACATTATGCTTTAATTTTTTTATTACATTTTAAACTTTAGATATTTTCTTTATGAACACTAAGATAATGAATATTTATATAGTGCATCATTACTGTTTATTTTTACATTTTTTCTTTTCTTTGAACGTCATAAAACCCCTATAAGCACACATTTTTTTTTATATTACCTTCTGACTACTGATGAAGTCAGAGACACATAGAGGTTGGTGACTTTGTCAGGAAGCACACAGCTAGTGAGAGAACAAATCTTGTTCTCACTTGAGATCCCAGAGTTACTTAATATTTGGATGATGTCTTGTTTAGCCTTAGGTTTGCTACAATTAGGGGTCAAATTTAGCTTAGATAATTCTGGTTTCTTTGGAACTATTCAGCTCATAGCCAACAACACGTCATGGCCACAGTATATAGAAAAGGGAGCACAAAGAATGTGAAACTATAATAAACGGTTTTGAGTATTAAAACTTTTCATGGGAATGAGTGTTAAATGTATTTCTCCAAGCACAGGAAATTTCTGTTAAGACATAAGGTTTGCACATTAGCTGAAGTGTATCTCAGGGTGTTGGTTAGGAGGGAAGAGAGTATTGACAATCAACGATGGAGGCTTTTGTAAGAACTAGAGTAGGAAGCAGTAGTTTAACTTTGTGTACTGTTACCTTTTTAATATTTTGAAAGTTTTTGAAGGTGAAGATGGAGATCAGTGCTTAGTAATTGACTACATGAATGTTATTATACACATATTGGAAATTAAAGTGCATAAGAATCATTCCTTTTCGGTAGAATGAGAAACTCCTTAGTGGGTGATATGAGATGGTCAGGAAAAGTCCCTTGGAAACATCATCTCTCCCACCAGGCTGCTTAAAATTTAATGACATGTTATTTGTTATATGTTTACATATTAATCAAAGTAACTTAAAATAGTGTACATATTTCTAATCGTTATAATTGTGAGAGTAGCAGTGGGGGGCTGACGTAAGCAGGGAGGGTTGGGCAAGCTTAAGTGAGTGAGAAAGGAGTGTGTGCTCCACTGTCAGATCACAGCGATGTGGGTGGGGGCCTAGAGGGAGACTTCTGAGAGCATGACCTGCCTCAGAGACATGGGTGGAGGTGCTGGAGACAGCTTGTCCTCTCCCTACTCGTGCAAAGACAGACCCATGAAAGTAGTGCAAATGGTGAGTGTAGGTTTAAGCATGTTGTAAACAAGTTGGCAGATCCATTTGGGGCTATTTAGAAAAGGTAGGAGAAGTCTCATTAAGGGAAAGCATAAAGAAAAAATAGAAACTAAAACATGCTAAGCAATATAGGAGACTTCTTTTTTAAGTTACATTTTATATAACCAGATTTTTTTGAAATGGATGTATAAAAACGAAAAGATTCCATTTGAACAGAAAAAGCAACAAATAGCATGGTAACACTTACAGGAAAGAAGGAGACCTTGCAAATAATGCCACTTAAAATGTTTTATAGAACCCCTTATTTATGTCTCAATCCAAAAAAATATGTTAAAAAAGCAGCCACTAGAACTGATGAAATAAAAAATATGAATGTGTTTTGTGTCTTTGGGAAAGATATGACAAAAACATGCTGCCTTACCCCTGTATTTATTCAGCAGTGATTGATTAAATAGCACCAGAAATGAGTGCTCTGTTTAGCGCCTTGGGAATTTTAGAGGGAATATAATTTCTTCAGGTTGAGGATTTTGAGCTAGGTCTGCAAGAAAGATATAACCAGAGATTGGCAGATAGAATCATCAGGTGGTCAAACAACAGTATCTTTCACTGTTATGTAGAAGGGCATGACAAAATAACAATCGCCTGTTTGACTCTGTCTCTTATTAGATACGTGCTTGTACTTATAGATTACAGATATTGGTTATCCTCTGAATTGCGGTGTTCTCATCTTTAATAAGGGCAGTGTCTACTTGCAAGGTGTTGTAGGGATTAAATTAGATATGTATGTAGATTACTGCAGTGCCCACATTGTTAGCATTTAGTGACTAGTGTTGTTGTCAGCCTAGGAAATGATCCAAAAGAACAATTACTAACCTCACAAAGGTACTTGATCCTGGGAAGTATTGCTTTTGGGAAACTCCTCTTTATGTATTACTATTTATTCCTGAGGATTTGAGCTTGAGCCTCTTGATGATCATCCACTCTCTGCATGCTGGAGCCTTGACTAAAAGGGGAGGCCCCAATCTCAGGAGAGATTTTACATTAAAGCCAGCTCTAAAGGTCAGACCAGACTGGCAGTGCTAAGGGCTAATTCTGCTTTCTGCTTTCTGGTTTTCATCCTTTAAAAACAATTTAAATCTTACTTTATTTTTATTGACAAATAATTATCTGTATTTATGGGGTACAATGGGATATTTTGATCATTGTGGGATGATTAAATCAAGCTAATTAACATATGTAACACCTTTTTTTTCTGGTGTGTATGTGTGTATGTGTTATGTGTGTGTGTGTGTGTGTGTGTGTGTGTGGCAAGAACAGAAAACCTTCTGGCAATTTTGAGATGTATAATACATTAACTATGGTCACCATGTTGAGCAATAGATCACTAAAACTTATTCCTCCTGTCTAACTGAAACTTTGTACCCTTTGACCAACATCTCCTCCACTCCCCCTGCCTCCTCAGCCTCTGTTAACCACCATTCTACTCAATACTTCTACGGGTTTGACTTTTTTTGATTCCAAATGTAAGTGAGATCATGCAGTATTTGTCTTTCTGTGTCTGGCTTATTTCATTTAGCATAATGTCTTCCAGGTTTACCCATGGTGTTGCAAATGACAAGATTTTCTTCTTAAAAAACGCTGTATAATTTTCCAGTGTGTGTATATACTACGTTTTCTTTGTCCATTCATCCAACCATGGACACTTAGCTTGATTCCATATCTTGCCTATTGTGAATAGTAATGCCTGCAGTGAAGATGAGCATGCAGATATCTTTTTGACATACTGATTTCATTTCCTTTAGATATATACCCAGAAGTGGGATTCTGGGACATATGGTAATTTTATTTTTAGTTTTTTTGAGGACTCTTTCTGCAATTCATTTTATATCATTTTATACAGTAAGGAGCAAAGTAAGGGCCTTTAGAGAGAATTCCTTCCTGCCTGTTTTCCCATAGTCTATGTTGGTAAAGCAAAACATGGATTGTCCATTTTATTGTGGGGTTCTAGGTAAACTCTGTATTATAATGCCTTAGCACTTAATATTTTTTCATAGCTCTTTTCCATATGCAATTTCATTTTGATTCTTATAATCAAAATGGATGAAATACTAATCTTGGAACCAAATATTGGTTATTTATTGAGGTCCTAATATGTGCTAGACATTCTGTTGATGTTTTATAAACATTATCACATTAAATCCTCACAATTGTGCAAGGTAGTTATTCTTATTTCTGTTTTGCTGTTGAGTAAACTAAAGTTTAGAAAGGTTGAGTAACTTACTCTCAACTTAGAGAGCCCCTCAGGGATGCAGCTAGGTTTAGAAACCAGGCTCTGCTGCCTTTCCATCTTACTGATGGGGAGCCTGAGATCAAGAGAGGGTACCTTGCCCAGGGTCACACTTGGAATGTCAAAACAGTAGCTTGTCGAGATTATCATGAATCTTTTCTTGACCTTTGGGCACCCTGCTAGCCACCAAATCTGCCTAGCATAACACTGGGTAACATGAGTAAGTAACATGAGTAACGGCCAGCAGGCCCCTCCGGGATGCTGCAATATACATTTTTCTTCATTTGCTCCAAGGATCCATGGATCTATCTCCTTCAATAATTAGGACTCACAGCCCTTGGTGTTGGCAGCTTAGCCATTATACCCTCTTCTCATATTTACAATTGAATTCACCATCCTTGCTGTATAAATCTCTGGAAACAAGCTGTTGATAAAGGGCACTTTGGCAAGGCTGTAACTCCAGCCTCATTTGAGATGCTGCTGTAATTAGTTACAGGTCTGCATTAGCTAAATTGAATGTAATCCATCATGCTTATTGGATGTGGTGGGGGAGATATGTACCCTGAAGGGTCAGCAAGAAAGACACATTAAATATCAGATGAGCTGAGTATTTGCCCAGGAAGGTGAATATACAGAGCAGTGCAGCATGTTCATAACACAGTAGCTTTTCTGCAATCACACAGAAGAAATAGTAGGGACTAGGGAAGAGAAAACACTTAGAAGCTTTTAAAATAAATTGGGCTAGTTACAAAGTGCCACTTATAAAAATAAAAATCAAACAGTAATTTAGGAGAGTGGAAAATGAAATAAGTGACTCATCAGGTAATAATGAAATATTTTTCAGGAAGAATGGAACTCTCTCTAGGCACAGGTATCTCGATACCTATAGATTATCCTGAGAGCCCCGATGGTTTTCACTGCATTTGAATCTCTTGAAGTTTTAAATCTCTTGAAGTGCTACACACAAGATACTCCAAATTATAACTGCTTGGCAGCTTTTTCTCATTTCTGTTCCTTGACAACAACAACAAAAACCCTTTATTAAGAGCCTGATGTTAAGAAGCACTAGGGCATATCAGGTTTATGGCTCTTTAGACTCCCTATTTTAGAGGGTATGCCCTTGAAGACAGCACTGTTGTGGCTGGCTACATAGATGTCAGAAGCAACTCAATATTTGAGTATAGAAATGGATAGATTCTAACACTGGTTTGCGTATATCCCAGCTGAGGAGCAAATCTCAGCTCGTGGCTATAACAAGAAAACTCACAGACTGGCTTTGATATCTA
This sequence comes from Homo sapiens, assembly GCF_000001405.40. Taxonomy (NCBI): domain Eukaryota; kingdom Metazoa; phylum Chordata; class Mammalia; order Primates; family Hominidae; genus Homo; species Homo sapiens. The sequence goes on along the minus strand of NC_000001.11, from coordinate 210,989,337 downwards.
TTTCTATTCACAAAAGTAGTATTTTGTGTCTTTTGCCTTTGTTTTTGCTTCATAAACATATTGGAAGTTTGTTAAAAAAATGTATCCACAGCACAAGTTAACATCTCTGAGTCTTGAATTTAGGAGAGGGTGATCCTTGTGTGGAGCAGATGCATTGAAAAAGCACAAAACTTGGCCCACTTTCTTTTGCCACTTGTGGGCCAGCCCATGAACATGGAGGTACTTACAGAGGGTATGAAGATGTCACTGTTTGATTCAACTCATATGTGGAAAAGCAACCTAAAATGTGTGACAGTAGCACCACTTTTGCAAAAAGAAAAAAAATGTTATCTAAGGAGCTACATTGAACATCTATTATTTTCATCCTATTATAAGCATGTCAGTTTCCAAGCCATGATAGAGACACACAAAGCTAGTTGGTCAGCACCAGCATTTCAGTGAATGAAATTTATTTGCTTTATTGAACATTGTCAGGTCTAATCTCAAGCAGGCAGCAAATCATAAAACATAACTTCCATTTCATTTTGTTTTTCTTCTAGAGAGAATCTGGTTTTCTTTGTCTTCACTCCACTCCAACATGAACACTGCTTCACTGCTGGGCCTCACATATTAAACAGAAACATTTGTTTAGAGTGTTTATAGGCCTTCTGTTCTCACATAATCCAATTCCAATTCTGGTTCCCCAAGTTAGTCGTCATGGTCATTTATTAGGTCTTGGGGCAATACTTTCAAATATGTTGCTTCTAAGTATTTATCCTGCTATCAGGAGATAGATTAATCCTGGTGATGGCTTATTGCAATAGACATGGCATGTATTATTGTGGTTCATTTATTTTAGGTTTATCTGAATTTGTAAACGGTTCTCAGCATATCTTGCAATAATAAAGCTTTAAGTATTCTCGCATAGGGGGAGGAGCCAAGATGGCTGAATAGGAACAGCTCCAGTCTACAGCTCCCAGTGTGAGTGACGCAGAAGACCCGTGATTTCTGCATTTCCAACTGAGGTACCGGGTTCATCTCACTGGGGAGTGCCGGACAGTGGGTGCAGAACAGTGGGTGCAGCACACCATGTGTGATCTGAAGCAGGGCGAGGCATTGCCTCACCCAGGAAGCACAAGGGGTCAGGGAATTCCCTTTCCTAGTCAGAGAAAGGGGTGACAGACGGCACCTGGAAAATTGGATCACTCCCACCCTAATACTGCGCTTTTCCAACGGGCTTAACAAATGGCACATCAGGAGATTATATCCTGCACCTGGCTCAGAGGGTCCTACACCCACAGAATCTCACTCATTACTAGCACAGCAGTCTGAGATCAAACTGCAAGGTGTCAGCGAGGCTGGGGGAGGGGCGCCTGCCATTGCCCAGGCTTGATTAGGTAAACAAAGCAGCCAGGAACCTCGAACTTGGTGGAGCCCACTACAGCTCAAGGAGGTCTGCCTGCCTCTGTAGGCTCCACCTCTAGGGGCAGGGCACAGACAATCAAAAGGCAGCAGTAACCTCTGCAGACTTAAATATCCCTGTCTGACAGCTTTGAAGAGAGTAGTGGTTCTCCCAGCATGCAGCTTGAGATCTGAGAACAGGCAGACTGCCTCCTCAAGCGGGTCACTGACCCCCGAGTAGCCTAACTGGGAGGCACCCCCCAGTAGGGGCAGACTGACACCTCACACGGCCGGGTACTCCTCTGAGACAAAACTTCCAGAGGAACGATCAGGCAGCAGCATTTGCGGTTCACCAATATCCGCTGTTCTGAAGCCACCGCTGCTGATACCCAGGCAAACGGGGTCTGGAGTGGACTTCCAGCAAACTCCAACAGACCTGCAGCTGAGGGTCCTGACTGTTAGAAGGAAAACTAACAAACAGAAAGGACATCCACACCAAAAACCCATCTGTACGTCACCATCATCAAAGACCAAAGGTAGATAAAACTACAAAGATGGGAAGAAAACAGAGCAGAAAAACTGGAAACTCTAAAAAGCAGAGTGCCTCTCCTCCTCGAAAGAAACGCAGCTCCTCACCAGCAATGGAACAAAGCTGGGTGGAGAATGGCTTTGACGAGTTGAGAGAAGAAGGCTTCAGATGATCAAACTACTCCGAGCTAAAGGAGGAAGTTCAAACCCACGGCAAAGAAGTTAAAAACCTTGAAAAAAATTAGACGAATGGCTAACTAGAATAACCAATGCAGAGAAGTCCTTAAAGGACCTGATGGAGCTGAAAACCAAGGCACAAGAACTATGTGACGAATGCACAAGCCTCGGTAGCTGATTCACTCACCTGGAAGAAAGGGTATCAGTGATGGAAGATGAAATGAATGAAATGAAGTGAGAAGGGAAGTTTAGAGAAAAAACAATAAAAAGAAATGAACAAAGCCTCCAAGAAACATGGGACTATGTGAAAAGACCAAATCTACATCTGACTGGTATACCTGAAAGTGATGGGGAGAATGGAACCAAGTTGGAAAACACTCTGCAGGATATTATCCAGGAGAACTTCCCCAATCTAGCAAGACAGGCCAACATTCAAATTCAGGAAATACAGAGAACACCGCAAAGATACTCCTCGAGAAGAGCAACTCCAAGACACATAATTGTCAGATTCACCAACGTTGAAATGAAGGAAAAGATGTTAAGGGCAGCCAGAGAGAATGGTCGGGTTACCCACAAAGGGAAACCCATCAGACTAACAGCTGATCTCTCAGCAGAAATTCTACAAGCCAGAAGAGAGTGGGGGCTGATATTCAACATTCTTAAAGAAAAGAATTTTCAACCAAGAATTTCATATCCAGCCAAACTAAGCTTCATAAGTGAAGGAGAAATAAAATCCTTTACAGACAAGCAAATGCTGAGAGATTTTGTCACCACCAGGCCTGCCCTAAAAGAGCTCCTGAAGGAAGCACTAAACATGGAAAGGAACAACCAGTACCAGCCACTGCAAAAACATGCCAAGTTGTAAAGACCATCAAGGCTAGGAAGAAGTTGCATCAACTAATGAGCAAAATAATCAGCTAACATCATAATGACAGGATCAAATTCACACATAACAATATTAACCTTAAATGTAAATGAGCTAAATGCTCCAATTAAAAGACAAACACTGGCAAATTGGATAAAGAGGCAAGACCCATCAGTGTGCTGTATTCAGGAGACCCATCTCACGTGCAGAGACACACATAGGCTCAAAATAAAGGGATGGAGGAAGATCTACTAAGCAAATGGAGAACAAAAAAAGGCAGGGGTTGCAATCCTAGTCTCTGATAAAACAGACTTTAAACCAACAAACATCAAAAGAGACAAAGAAGGCCATTACATAATGGTAAAGGGATCAATTCAACAAGAAGAGCTAACTATCATAAATATATATGCACCCAATACAGGAGCACCCAGATTCATAAAGCAAGTCCTTAGCGACCTAGAAAGAGACTTAGACTCCCACACAATAATAATGGGAGACTTTAACACCCTACTGTCAACATTAGACAGATCAATGAGACAGAAAGTTAACATGGATATCCAGGAATTGAACTCAGCTCTGGACCAAGCATACCTAATAGACATCTATAGAACTCTCCACCCCGACTCAACAGAATATACATTCTTTTCAGCACCACACCACACCTGTTCCAAAATTGACCACATAGTTGGAAGTAAAGCACTCCTCAGCAAATGTAAAAGAACAGAAATTATAACAAACTCTCTCCCAGACCACAGTGCAATCAAACTAGAACTCAGGATTAAGAAACTCACTCAAAACCACTCAACTACATAGAAACTGAACAACCTACTCCTGAATGACTACTGGGTACATAACGAAATGAAGGCAGAAATAAAGATGTTCTTTGAAACCAGCGAGAACAAAGACACAACATACCAGAATCTCTGGAACACGTTCAAAGCAGTGTGTAGAGGGAAATTTATAGCACTACATGCCCACAAGAGAAAGCAGGAAAGATCCAAAATTGACACCCTGACATCACAATTAAAAGAACTAGAAAAGCAAGAGCAAACTCATTCAAAAGCTAGCAGAAGGCAAGAAATAACTAAGATCAGAGCAGAACTGAAGGAGATAGAGACACAAAAAACCCTTCAAAAAATCAGTGAATCCAGGGGCTGGTTTTTTGAAAAGATCAACAAAATTGATAGACTACTAGCAAGACTAATAAAGAACAAAAGAGAGAAGAATCAAATAGATGCAATAAAAAATGATAAAGGGATATCACCACCGATCCCACAGAAATACGAACTACCATCAGAGAATACTAGAAACATCTCTACACAAAAAACTTGAAAATCAAGAAGAAATGGATAAATTCCTCGACATATACACCCTCCCAAGACTAAACCAGGAAGAAATGGAATCTCTGAATAGACCAATAACAGGCTCTGAAATTGAGGCAATAATTAATAGCTTACCAACCAAAAAAAGTCCACGACCAGATGGGTTCACAGCTGAATTCTACCAGAGGTACAAAGAGGAGCTGGTACCATTCCTTCTGAAACTATTCCAATCAATAGAAAAAGAGGGAATCCTCCCTAACTCATTTTATGAGACCAGAATCATCCTCATACCAAAGCCTGGCAGAGACACAACAAAAAAAGAGAATTTTAGACCAATATCCCTGAGGAACATTGATGCAAAAATCCTCAATAAAATACTGGCAAACCAAATCCAGCAGCACATCAAAAAGCTTATCCATGCTTAGCCACCATGATCAAGTGGGCTTCATCCCTGGGATGCAAGGCTGGTTCAACATACGAAAATCAAAAAACGTAATCCAGCATATAAACAGAACCAGTGACAAAAACCACATGATTATCTCAATAGATGCAGAAAAGACCTTTGACAAAATTCAACAACGCTTCATGCTAAAATCTCTCAATAAATTAGGTATTGATGGGACGTATCTCAAAATAATAAGAGCTATCTATAACAAACCCACAGCCAATATCATACTGAATGGACAAAAACTGGAAGCATTCCCTTTGAAAACTGGCACAAGACAGGGATGCCCTCTCTCACCACTCCTATTCAACATAGTGTTGGAAGTTCTGGCCAGGGCAATCAGGCAGGAGAAGGAAATAAAGGGTATTCAATTAGGAAAAGAGGAAGTCAAATTGTCGCTGTTTGCAGATGACATGATTGTATATCTAGAAAACCCCATTGTCTTCCCAGCTGAAAATCTCCTTAAGCTGATAGACAACTTCAGCAGTCTCAGGATACAAAATCAATGTGCAAAAATCACAAGCATTCTTATACACCAATAACAGACAAACAGAGAGCCAAATCATGAGTGAACTCCGATTCACAATTGCTGCAAAGAGAATAAAATACCTAGGAATCCAACTAACAAGGGATGTGAAGGACCCCTTCAAGGACAATTACAAACCACTGCTCAATGCAATAAAAGAGGATACAAACAAATGGAAGAACATTCCATGCTCATAGGTAGGAAGAATCAATATCACGAAAATGGCCATACTGCCCAAAGTAATTTATAGATTGAATGCCATTCCCATCAAGCTACCAATGACTTTCTTCACAGAATTGGAAAAAACTACTTTAAAGTTCATATGGAACCAAAAAAGAGCCCGCATCGCCAAGTCGATGCTAAGCCAAAAGAACAAAGCTGGAGACATCACGCTACCTGACTTCAAACTACACTACAAGGCTACAGTAACCAAAACAGCATGGTACTGGTACCAAAACAGAGATATAGACTGATGCAACAGAACAGAGCCCTCAGAAATAATGCTGCATGTCTGCAACTATCTGATCTTTGACAAACCTGACAAAAAAGAAGAAATGGGGAAAGGATTCCCTATTTAATAAATGGTGCTGGGAAAACTGGCTAGCCATATGTAGAAAGCTGAAACTGGATCCCTTCCTTACACCTTACACAAAAATTAATTCAAGATGGATTAAAGACTTATATGTTAGACCTAAAACCATAAGAACCCTAGAAGAAAACCTAGGCAATACCATTCAGAACATAGGCGTGGGCAAGGACTTCATGACTAAAACACCAAAAGCAATGGCAACAAAAGACAAAATTGACAAATGGGATTTAATTAAATTTAAGAGCTTCTGCACAGCAAAAGAAACTACCATCAGAGTGAACAGGCAACCTACAGAATGGGAGAACATTTCTGCAATCTACTCATCTGACAAATGGCTAATATGCAGAATCTACAGTGAACTCAAACAAATTTACAAGAAAAAAACAAACAACCCCATCAAAAAGTGGGTGAAGGATATGAACAGACACTTCTCAAAAGAAGACATTTATGCAGCCAAAAAACACGGGAAAAAATGCTCATCATCACTGGCCATCAGAGAAACACAAATCAAAACCACAATGAGTTACTATCGCACACCAGTTAGAATGGCGATCATTAAAAAGTCAGGAAACAGCAGGTGCTGGAGAGGATGTGGAGAAATAGGAACACTTTTACACTTTTGGTGGGACTGTAAGCTAGTTCAACCATTGTGGAAGTCAGTGTGGTGATTCCTGAGGGATCTAGAACTAGAAATACCATTTGACCCAGCCATCCCATTACTGGGTGTATACCCAAAGGATTATAAATCATGCTGCTATAAAGACACATGCACACGTATGTTTATTGCGGCACTATTCACAATAGCAAAGACTTGGAACCAACCCAAATGTCCAACAACGATAGACTGGATTAAGAAAATGTGGCACATATACACCATGGAATACTATGCAGCCATAAAAAGTGATGAGTTCATGTCCTTTGTAGGGACATGGATGAAACTGGAAACCATCATTCTCAGCAAACTATCACAAGGACAAAAAACCAAACACCACATGTTCTCACTCATAGGTAGGAATTGAATAATGAGAAGACATGGACACAGGAAGGGGAACATCACATACCGGGGACTGGTGTGGAGTGGGGGGAAGGGGGAGGGATAGCATTGGAGATATACCTAATGCTAAATGATGAGTTAATGGGTGCAGCACACCAACATGGCACATGTATACGTATGTAACAAACCTGCACGTTGTGCACATGTACCCTAAAACTTTACCCTAAAGTTTATTACCCTAACTTATGTACCCTAAAACTTTATAATAATAATAATAATAATAATAATAAAAGTATTCTCGCATCCTTTTCGTAGCTGTTATTTAATTTTATTCCCAATATTCCTGTGTGGATGTTGAAAATTTTATGAAAAGAGAAGACAAGAGTCAGGAGCAATTGACTTTTTGAAAGTCTTATTGCTGGTGGACTAAAGATTAGATTTCATGACCCCCAGACCAATTTTCTAGTTCTTGCCTGATTGATTCCTGAGCCATGTTTTTGGGAGGGGGAGGATTAAGATTAAGTTTGCTTTTGGTATCCTCTTTCAAACCGTACCCGCTTCCCCCAACCTATGCATCAAACTTAACACACATGTGCCCACATACATGTGACCACACATACACATTCCCCTGGCCCCTCTTTACCCTGCCTTGAAAGCTTGAAAATTTTAGCTCTTTATTCTGTTTCTAAATAGCCTTCACCTCTAGAACTAAGAGGAAAATGAAGGCAGTTGCAGCAAAGGGAACAATTCTGGTGTAGAAAAAAAGTCTCCACAAGTTTGCCAGGAAGTTTTGCCTGAGTCACTGGAATTCTGGCCCCATTTCTGTTTCATTTGACAGTACAGATGGACTTTGGGCAATTTGAATATAATTATAGAGAAGGAGAACCTGGTTTCAGATTATGTCATTCCTTATTGAGATAGTATTTATAGAGATAGTATTTATAGCTAGCAAATGAAGACATTTTTACATGAAAAAATTTTCTCTATATTAATGACCGAATTCATTTAGGACAGCTACATAGTTACTCCTACTCAGTCATAAGAAAGCCAAACACTGGCCCTTCTTTTTTCATGTTGGTAATTTTCTTCATATAGCCATGGTGTGATAAGGGATGATTCTTTTTTTTTTTTTTTTTTTTGTCGTTGTTACTTCTAATGACTCATTCATGGACTGAGGAGCCCCTGGGACTAGATGTAGTTGCTGAAGCAATCATGTCTCTAATGCTGAGTTTTCCTTTTGGCCATCAGTTCCCTGACTGTTCAGTCCAACATGGCCAATGCATAGAATAAGACATGAGTTAAACTCCGTGTCTTTTTCCCTCTGACCTAAATATACTGAAAGCACTGTCTGCCTGGGCCAGGTGAGATCGTGAGTGGCTTTCTCTGAGTGACTTTAGTGCATGTTATCCCCTTTCATGAAATGGTTTTGTTCTGGAAAGCCAAAGGATTGCTTAGAGAGAGGGATATAAGAGTTCCTATTATGGGATGTTTATGAAACCTCTCCACATTCAGGATACCTAATGAAAGTTTTTAAAGCTGTCAAAGTGGAAAATGCATAGGCTTTGGAGCTACGGGACCAAGGTAATGTCTGTAACTAAGCCTCAGTATCATTATATGTAAAATGTAGGTAGAGATATCTGCTTTATCATATGTATGTATATAAATGCACACACACACACACACACACACACATTGTCTAATACATTGTGATGTCCCATCTCATAGCTTCTTATTTGTTGCTTCTCAATATATATCCAGTGCCACCCCTTTCTGGAGAACCAGAGAACTGGATGGACTCTCTCTCCCTAATACTGCTCATACTATTCTCATGACAATTCAAGTGCAACAAACAGAATCTCTTTCAGCCTTGGATCATATAATGCAGTGCAAATGATTCTTTTCTTTCCTCTGGGCTTTCTGCTGACCCACCAGTTCATTTGCATATGCTATTTCTATAGTATCTTTCATCAACATACTTTTGTTAATATTGCAGTTTCTTAGTTTAAAGGCTTTTACCCTCATAACCTCCTAGATTGATTGTTTCCTGTTAGTGCATTGGAGGGTAGACACATCAGGCTCTCAATATCATGCTGCCTGTAAATCTCCTGTTAGGGCAAGTTAGTTCTGGGAAGGTAACTTAAGGCAGCAAATCCTGTTATCAGCATGTAGATTCTTGTGAACACCCATTACACAGGTGATCTTTTCTGATTATGGGCCTTACATGCTCCTCTTCATTATGGCTGCATCATCATGTCTTAACCTGCATCTGGGGATCAGGTTTGTAGTTGAGCTCATATACCTTGTCTAGTTTCCAATTTCATATTGTACTCACTTAGCAATGGTTTCAGACAAAGCTTGGACTACAGTTTGCCAACCATGAAGGAAGCCATTTCAAGGGTAAATGAAATGGAAGAAGTGAACATAGAAGGAAAAAGCATATTTAATCTAAATGCCTGAAATAATTAAGCATTTTGTGACATGTTAATAATGTTGCCAAGTTACAAATGTCATAATTAGTAAATATTTGTCCACAACATCTTGGTGTTACCTTGTCAGAAGCTAAAGATATTACAATTAATACAATAAAACTGCATATATTTCAAAATTTAGATTTCCCTAATTAATATTGCCTCCTGTTAGCATGAATTTCCTGTCAGAAATAATTGAATTCATTAGCACTTAATGGTTATCTTGCCTGTATAAGAAAAGCATTACATAGGGTGTGCTGAAGATGAGAAACTGGGGAATTGATTGATAAGCCACTATAACTGGTTTGGGTAAAGAGTAACTGGGAACTTTCTCAGGCTTCAAAGACCAGAAAACACTCTAATGCTTGAAATAAAAAGCTCCTGAGGAAAAATTATAAAAATGACATGAGAAAAATAATTGAGTTTATTATATCAAACATACATCTATAATAAATTCACAGAGATGAGAAACATATCCAGATATGAAGAAGTGAAACAGGAGAATGGAAAATTCACTCAATGGGAAATATAAACCAGAAAATGTTCAACGTTACTAATAATTAAAAATGCTAAATGAAACAATAATGAGAATTTGAAAATATGGATTAGCTATGGCTCAGTGAGGTTGGCAAATCCTCTTCCTAAAAAAGCAACTATAAAGCTGGACAGAATTGACACAAATAACAATTTCAGTGTTCTAGAAACTGTCCAAAGTTATACAACAATCTGAGAACCATTTATACTTAAATAACTGTATGACTTGCTGTAAGGACAGTGGGAGTTTCCGATGTTTTTTCTTGAGATTCCTCTCATTTTCCCTCCTCCTACTACAGCTTTGTTAGCATCGAGGTTTGGCCAGGGCAAGGCAGGCTATGAGGACTAGCAGCTGTGTTGCTGAATTGACTTGATTGAAGTGGCTGGTGATGTCCACACCCACCAGCATTGTCAGTGGAATTGACAATCTCAGAAATAGGGTGAATGGGAAAGGCCAACATCTCTAGAAGCCCGAGGTTGCAGGAGTGATTAAAGTGAGCATATTCCTGCCTGAGGTGCAGTAAAGACTGTAGAGAGCTCAAACTGTCCATATACTGTTGACCAACTTTGAGGCTGTTTGAATATGCAGAGGAGACACTAAAGGGCCCAACAGCATGTGAAAGTCTAGGCAGACGTAAAACAGCTTGGACTTTGAGTGCATGTGCCTACCCACACACAGGTTCACTGGTAGAGGATGAAAGCCTTATGGGCTTGAGATGTTAGATCACATCCTCTGTCTAATCATTGACTGACTGCCAACCTATGTAGACACAAAGGTGACTCTTAAGAGTTTAGGCTTAAAAATGAAAAACAAGCGTAATAATAGTTAACAGGAACTCAACAGGGATATCATAACCACACACACTGAGGGAGACAGATTTCACAGATTTAGCTGAGGCAAGTTATTAAACAACAATAACCTTCAAGTGGGGAAAAATCAGTATCTAGAGTTACTACAATATGTTACCTATAATGTTCAGGTTTCAACAAAACATGATGAGGCTTACAAAGAAACAGTAATGTGTGACTCACACTCAGAGGAAAAAAAAGCAGTCAATCGAAACTGCCTCTCAGTGTCCTCAGATGTTGGGTTTAGCAGACCAATTCTTCAAAGAAATTATTATAAACATGTTCAAGAAACTACATGCAACTATATTTAAAGAATTAAAGGAGGCCGGGCGCGGTGGCTCATGCCTGTAATCCCAGCACTTTGGGAGGCCGAGGCAGGCAGATCACGAGGTCAGGAAATAGAGACCATCCTGGCTAACATGGTGAAACCCTGTCTCTACTAAAAATACAAAAAATTAGCCAGGTGTGGTGGTGGGTGCCTGTAGTCCCAGCTACTCGGGAGGCTGAGACAGGGGAATGGCGTGAACCAGGGAGGCGGAGCTTGCAGTGAGCCGAGATCGCACCACTGTACTCCAGCCTAGGCACAGAGCGAGACTCCATCTAAAAAAAAAAAAAAAAATTAAAGGAGAGTATAACACCAATGACTCAATAAGTAAGGAGCTAGAAATTATAAAACAAATTCTGAAGTTGAAAAGTACAATAACTGAAATAAATTCATCAAATAGGTAGAAGAGCAGATTTTGAATGTTCTGAACACAAATGATAAATATTTGAGGTGATAGGTATGCTACTTACCCTGATTTGATCATTACACATTGTATACATGTACTGAAATATCACACTGTACCCTGTAAATATGTATGATTGTTATGTTTCCATTAAAAATATTAATAAAAGCAAAAAATACATTTTTTCAGGTTGGTAGGATTCAGCCCAGTTACCTTAACTATGTAAAACATTGGGTCAAAGAATATTTTTTTCCCTTTGAATCTACTGACCCAGCAAACAACAATCTATATAAAGCTATACAAATAAAAATGTAATTTCATGCCAAAAAATGTCAGGCACAGGAAGACAAATACTGCATGATCTCATTTATTAAGAAATTCAAAATAGTAGAAATTACAGAAGCAGAGAGTAGAATGGTGGTTACCGGGAGCTGAGGGTGGAGTGATGGGGGTACTGTTGGACAAAAGGTGTACGGTTTTTTTTTTTAAATTATACTTTAAGTTCTAGGGTACAAGTGCACAACGTGCAGGTTTGTTACATATGTATACATGTGCCATGTTGGTGTGCTGCACCCATCAACTCATCATTTACATTAGGTATATCTCCTAATGCTATCCCTCCCCACTCCCCCCACCTCACGACAGGCCCCAGTGTGTGATGTTCCCCTTCCTGTGTCCTAGTGTTCTCATTGTTCAGTTCCCACCTATGAGTGAGAACATGTGGTGTTTGGTTTTTTGTCCTTGCAATAGTTTGCTGAGAATGATGGTTTCTGGCTTCATCCATATCCCTACAAAGGACATGAACTCATCCTTTTTCATGGCTGCTTAGTATTCCATGGTGTATATGTGCCACCAGTCTATCATTTTTGGACATTTGGGTTGGTTCCAAGTCTTTGCTATTGTGAATAGTGCCACAATAAACATACATGTGCATGTGTCTTTATAGGAGCATGTTTTATAATCCTTTGGGTATATACCCAGTAATGGGATGGCTGGGTCAAATGGTATTTCTAGTTCTAGATCCCTGAGGACTCGCCACACTGACTTCCACAATGGTTGAACTAGTTTACAGTCCCACCAACAGTGTAAAAGTGTTCCTATTTCTCCACATCCTCTCCAGCACCTGTTGTTTCTTGACTTTTTAATAATCCCCATTCTAACTGGTGTGAGATGGTATCTCATTGTATGTGCCACGTATTCTTAATCCAGTCTGTCATTGACGGACATTTGGGTTGGTTCCAAGTCTTTGCTATTGTGAATAGTGCCGCAGTAAACATACATGTGCATGTGTCTTTATAGCAGCATGATTTATAATCCTTTGGGTATATACCCAGTAATGGGATGGCTGGGTCAAATGGTATTTCTAGTTCTAGATCCCTGAGGAATCGCCACACTGACTTCCGCAATGGTTGAACTAGTTTACAGTCCCACCAACAGTGTAAAAGTGTTCCTATTTCTCCACATCCTCTCCAGCACCTGTTGTTTCTTGACTTTTTAATAATCGCCATTCCAACTGGTGTGAGATGGTATCTCATTGTATGTGCCACATTTTCTTAATCTAGTCTATCATTGATGGACATTTGGGTTGGTTCCAAGTCTTTGCTATTGTGAATAGTGCCGCAGTAAACATACATGTGCATGTGTCTTTATAGCAGCATGATTTATAATCCTTTGGGTATGTACCCAGTAATGGGATGGCTGGGTCAAATGGTATTTCTAGTTCTAGATCCTTGAGGAATCACCACACTGTCTTCCACAATGGTTGAACTCGTTTACAGTCCCACCAAAAGTGTAAAATGTTCCTATTTCTCCATATCCTCTCCAGCACCTGTTGTTTCCTGACTTTTTAATGATTGCCATTCTAACTGGTGTGAGATGGTATCTCATTGTGGTTTTGATTTGCGTTTCTCTGATAGCCAGTGATGATGAGCATTTTTTCATGTGTGTATTGGCTGCATAAATGTCTTCTTTTGAGAAGTGTCTGTTCATATCCTTCGCCTACTTTTTGATGGGGTTGTTTGTTTTTTTCTTGTAAGTTTGTTTGAGTTCTTTGTAGATTCTGGATATTAGCCCTTTGTCAGATGAGTAGACTGCAAAAATTTTCTCCCATTCTGTAGGTTGCCTGTTCACTCTGATGGTAGTTTCTTTTGCTGTGCAGAAGCTCTTTAGTTTAATTAGATCCCATTTGTCAATTTTGGCTTTTGTTGCCATTGCTTTTGGTGTTTTAGATGTGAAGTCCTTGCCTATGCCCATGTCCTGAATGGTGTTGCCTAGGTTTTCTTCTAGAGTTTTTATGGCTTTAGGTCTAACATATAAGTCTTTAATCCATCTTCAATTAATTGTTGTATAAGGTGTAAGGAAGGGATCCAGTTTCAGCTTTCTACATATGGCTAGCCAGTTTCCCCATCACCATTTATTAAATAGGGAATCCTTTCCCCATTTCTTCTTTTTTGTCAGGTTTGTCAAAGATCAGATGGTTGTAGATGTGTGGTATTATTCCTGAAGGCTCTGTTCTGTTCCATTGGTCTACATCTCTGTTTTGGTACCAGTACCATGCTGTTTTGGTTACTGTAGCCTTGTAGCATAGTTTGAAGTCAGGTAGTGTGATGCCTCCAGCTTTGTTCTTTTGGCTTAGGATTATCTGAATCCAGGAGCTGGTTTTTTGAAAAGATCAACAAAATTGATAGACAGCTAGCAAGAATTCTAATATATCAAAACTATTCTTCATAAATGACAGCAAAATAAAGACATTTCTAATAAAGACTGGTAAAACTGGTTGCTAGCAGACATGTCTTATAAAATATACCAAGTGAAGTCTTTCAGAATGAAAGGAAATGACATTAGTTTTAACTCAAATTCCAAGGAAGAATTAAAGGGCATCAGAAATGGTAAGTACACAGGTTAATAAAAAATACTTTTAAATATATCTTTTTATCATTTTTTCTCCTAACTTCTTTAAAGGATGTAAGTGTGTATAAAGCAATAATAATAATAGTAATGTATTGGGTACAAAACATCTATAGATGTGATATGTATGATAATAGCACAAACTCTTAAAGTAGAGGAGGAAGGGCCAGGTGTGGTGGCTCACACCTGTAATCCTAGCACTTTGGGAGGCCAAGGTGGGTGGATCACGAGGTCAGGAGATCAAGACCATCGTGGATAACACAGTGAAACCCCGTCTTTACTAAAATACAAAAAATTAGCCGGGCGTAGTGTCACGCACCTGTAGTCCCAGCTACTTGGGAGGCTGAGGCAGGAGAATGACTTGAACCTGGGAGGTGGAGTTTGCAGTGAGCCAAGATCGTGCCACTGCACTGCAGCCTGAGTGACAGAGTGAGACTCCATCTCAAAAAAAAAAAAAAAAAAAAGGATGAAGAAACACATAAAAATTCTATCTTTGAGACTAGTAGTACTCTGATAATAAAGCCAGACAAAGGTATAATAAGAAAACAACAAGCCAATATTCTTATTAGCAAAGACACAAAGCTCCTAAACGAAATATTAGCAAACCAAATCTGGCAACATGTAAAAAGAATTATTCACCATTACCAAAAGAGATTTATCTGAGGAATACATGGCTGTTTTAATATCAAATAATTAATTACTGTAATATACTGTATTAATATGATAAAAGAAAAAATCCACAAGTTCATATTAATAGATACAGAAAAATCATTAAATAAAATCCAACACCCATTTGTGATAAAAATGCTCAACTCACTAGAAATAGAAAGGAACTTCCTCAACCTGATAAAGAGCATTTAACAAAACACCTACAGCTAACATCGTGACAGTGAAAAAGTGGATGCTTTATCATTAAGAAGGGTGAGAGAGAGGAGGGAAGGGAAGAGAGAGAGAGAAAGTAATCATTGAACTGCATATATTTCTGGGGAGGCTGTGGTGAAACTGACAAACTCATACTCTGAAAATTGTTGCAAACCTTTGGGAAAATAACTCAGTAATAGATGGCAAGAAAAATACATTAATAAATTAATGTAAAATGTTGAACCTATCTTAAAAATATTCATTTGAAATAATTCAAAGGAAAAAAATCCCATGTGCCTGGAATATTTGTTGCAGCATTATCTTTAAATATGTAACACTGTAAACAATCTATTCTCATAATAGTGAAATGGTTAAGACATCATTTTGTTGATGTTTCCACTTAAAAATAGCTGCAATGACTAATGACATTGGTGGTAAATATGTATATTATTTTCATCAAAGAAAATCAGCTTTAAAATTGTAAGTTTGCTATAGTTAAACTGTATAAAATTATATATACTATACCTACACTGGAAGGAAACATTACCTGGTAAGGTCAATGAAATTACAGTTGACTTTCCCTTCCTTTAAACAATTTCATTACTCTTGCCACAAAATAAATGTGACTCTGAGAAGAAAAAAAGTGACAAATGGAATTGGAGTCATTTAAGTTTGACTAGAAACGAAAGGATAGCTATATGGATGGGAATCATGTTTGAAATGTTCAGTTGACATGATTTCATGGTTGATTAGGTATAGAATTGAGAGAAAGAGTCTTTGTTGACCTTGAATTTCTGTCTTAGAAGATGTTGACTCCATTAACCGAAAGATAGTATAGATATAAAGAGAATGGGTCTAGGGGCTGTATATGCTTAGAAGGTGATCGATCTCATATTTTGTTACATTATTGAGCATCAAATATAAGTATTTGAGAAATGTTATTTCACTTTGGGATATGTTGAATTTGAAGTGCCAGTGTGACTTTCAGGTTGAAATGTCCAAAGGTCAGAATGATATTAACATGTAGAACTTTGGAGAGAAGTTGGGCTAAAAGGGTAGCTATGGGAATCATATGCATGTGGGTGCTACAGAATGAGGAAGAGTCATTGAAGTTCATGATTAGGAGTCATGAATTTTGAGATAGCAGATGAAATAGAATGATGGATGCCTCATGACAAAGGGTAGAAGAGTGAGTAGATGGGAGGCAAACAGCCAGTTTTACTTTTTTTTTTTTTTTTGAGACGTTTGGTAGTGAATGGAAGGAGAAAGATGAGACAATACTCAAGTCAGTGCTCAAACTCAAGCAAGATTGTAGAAAGGATTTGTTATAGAGGTTTTTCTTAAGACTTCAGGCTGAGATTTTCTTGTTGCTTGAAGAACCATCTAGATTTATTACTGCTGTGAATGCATTCTAGCCCTCCTCTGACTTGAATACACATTTAACCAGTAGATATAGACTTTTTCCAGTGAAGCAGGCATGATTTCATTGTGTTCTATCACTGAAATGACTGTTGCCCTAATGACATTTTCTGTTGCAATGAGAAATGAATTTTTAAAATCTATCATTTTACTGCCTTTTACAATGATTGTCTTCATCAGAAAACGAACTGGCTTGCCAATTTTGATTGCCTCTTTGTTAAAAGCAGGGTTTTATCTTTTTTCTTTCCCAATGTATAAGTAAGCTTTTTTTAAAAAAGGAACTTTAGGGCAACTGAAATCATTAAAGAGAGTGAGAGGTTTCTGCATGAAGACCAACAAAAGGATTAAAACTCCTTGGTCTGGAATTATGAAAGTGGAGTGGGACAGAATTAAAGTCTAAATTGACAAAAGTTATGAGGAAGCACAATCTAGTCTGCAAGTCTTAGAAACCAGAATGGGAGGCAGCCTTTTAGGTGCTAATACCTGCCTCATGGGGTCCTTGTAAGGATCAAGAGATACTATATTAAAAAATGCTTTGTAACTCATAAAGCATGATTCAAATATATGATATTATAATTAGAACTTGGTGGGTGGTGTTTTGGGAAAAATAATAGGGAAAAAAACCCCTCTGTTTTAAAGTTGTGTAGGAAGCATTCACCAATGTAGCATAAATAGAACTTAGAGTGCTCACATAAGGTCACAGGCATTTGCATCTGAGTGGATTTTTAAGGACTGTTGGGTCTTTTCTGCACCTTCCCTTGACCCCTGAAGAGGGGTAACTACTGCATGTTACTCATCACATGTATTTGTTAAAGACATAATAATGGATTATATGCACACTAAATCCACCATTTCTCTTAGCATGTAACATTTTAAAAGCTTCTTTAAGTATGAAGTATATATATCTTTAAGTATGAAGTATATATACATAAAGTACATATATAATATATACAATGTATACCAGAAAATAAGTTCAGATAATATAAAAATGTACAAATATTGAACAACTCATTCTCCAGAAGGAAAAAATGTCCTTTTAGATTTTGCTAATTTCTATGACATAAATACCTTTTCCATCGCTGATTTCAGGTTACCCACAAGACTGCACTGAATATCTGTTAGGAAGAGATGCACGGTAGCACAACATTGTGTAATATTTTCACCATCCAGATACATAGATAGAATAATCTTGAAAGCATCGATAATAGTAAAATGCAGTAAAATAGGAGGTAATGTGCCTTGAGTATTTATTACCTTGGATTTTGATGTAACTAATTTGATTTTAAGTTCATATAATTTTATTTTCAATAATGACTGTGTTTAGCAACCAGCTTTCAAAATTTCTGAAAATTTAACAATTGCTTTCTTGAGCTAGTGTGAATGGACTCAACTACACAATGCTCTAAATAACTTATGGGTCACAGAAGAATAATAGGGATTAGAAAATATTTAGACATATAAGATGATGAAAATGCTACATATAAAACATCGTGGGTCGGCTGTGGTGGCTCATGCGTATAATCTCAGCACTTTGGGGGACTGAAGTGGGAGGATCACTTGAGCTCAGGAGTTTGAGACCAGCCTGGAAAATATAATGAGACCTCGTCTCTGCTAAACAAAAAAAATCATCATTCTGACTGGCATGAGATGGTATCTCACTGTGGTTTTGATTTGCATTTCTCTAATGATCAGTGATGTTGAGCTTTCTTTCATGTTTATTGGCCGCATAAATGTCTTCTTTTGAGAAGTGTCTGTTCATGTCCTCTGCCCACTTTTTGATGTGGTGGTTTTTGTTTTTGTTTTTTATTTTTGTAAATTTAAGTTCCTTGTAAATTCTGGATATTAGACCTTTGTCAGATGGATAGATTGCAAAAATTTTCTCCCATTCTGTAGGTTGCCTGCTTTCTCTGATGAGTTTCTTTTGCTGTGCAGGAGCTCTTTAGTTTAATTAGATCCCATTTGTCAATTTTAGCGTTTGTTGCAGTTGCTTTTGGTGATTTCATCATAAAATCTTTGCCCACCCTTACGTCCTGAATGGTATTGCCTAAGTTTTCTTCCAGTATTTTTATGGTTTTGGGTTTTACATTTAAGTCTTTAATCCATTTTGAGTTAATTTTTGTATAAGGTGTGAGGAAGAGATCCAGTTTTTGTTTTCTGCATATGGCTAGCCAGTTTTCCCAGCACAATTTATTAAATAGGAAATCCTTTCCCCATTGCTTATTTTTGTCAGGTATGTTGAAGATCAGATGGTTGTAGATATGTGGTCTTATCATGTCCTTTGCGGGGACATGGATGAAGCTGGAAGCCATCATCCTCAGCAAACTAACACAGGAACAGGAAACCACACAGGAATGGGAAACTAAACACGAACAGGAAACAAACACCACATGTTCTCACTCATAAGTGGGAGTTGAACAATGAGAACACATAGACACAGGGAGGGGACCATCATACACCGGGGCCTGTTGGGGGTGGGGGACAAGGGGAGGGAGAATATCAGGACAAATAGCTAATGTGTGCAAGGCTTAAAACCTAGGTGACAGGTTAATAGGTGCAGCAAACCACCATGGCACAGGTATACCTATGTGACAAACCTGCACATTCTGCACATGTATCCTGGAACTTAGGAAAATAAAAAAAAAATAAAAGCAGGAGAAAAAAACAAAACAAAACAAAACAAAATTAGTTTGGTGTGGTGGCATGTGCCTATAGTCCCAGCTACTCAGTAGGCTGAGGTGGGAGGATCACTTGAGCCTGGGATATTGAGGCTGCAATGGGCAGATATCATGTCACTGTACTCCAGCATGGATTACAGAGTGCAACCCTGTCTCAAAAACAAAAACAAAATGAAAAAAAGTTGTGGGATGAGGCTAAGACATTACTTAGATGGAAATTTAAGATATCAAAGAAGAAAGATTTAAAAATAACAAGCATTCAATGATAGTTTAAAAAAACAAATTATTTAAAAGTAGGAGGAAGCTAAAGATGAAAGTAGAAATTAAAGATTTAAAAAAATACACAGGCAAGATTAGCAATATCAAAAGTTGATTGTTTGAAAAGACTCACAAAAATGATAAAACTTTGGTGAGAAGGCTCAGACCAAACAACGTTAGGCCTAAATCAAGGCAGTTCTACAAATATAATAGAGTTTTAGAAGACAGTAAGAGAAAATTAAGCATTTAGAGCAGTATGTTTGAAAACTTAGACCAAATAATAAAATTCCTAGGGGAGATAAACGACTCAATTAAAATAATAGAAAAACTTATTGCCCTATAATTGTTAATAATTGAAGTGGCATATAACTTCTAATGAAGAAAATGTAAGTACCAGGTGATTTTATAGATGAGTGCTACCAAATTTTCAAGATATATATTATTCTAGTCTTATATAAAGTTTTATATAAAAAGTTTTTATATGTAAAGTTTTTCAGGTAATAGAGAAAGAAGGAATATTCTCAATTCATTCTGTAAGATCAGTAAAATCACAAAACCAAAACACATAAGCATGGTGTAGAAAAGTAAAATTATAGGTTAACCTCACTCATGAGGATGGATGAAAAATTTATAACCAAAAAAGAGTAAATAAGAATTCATAATGTACAGAAAAGGTAATGTGTCATAATAAAGTTGAATTTATTCCAAGAATATACAGGTGGTTTAATATTAGAAAATTTATAAATCTGATTTATTACATTAACAGATGAAAGGAAATAATCCGTATAATTAAAGATGCAGAGAAGGCAAAAAGTCAAAAACATTTCCTGATAAAAGCTCTTAGCAAATTAGGAATAAAAAGGGATGTCCTTAATTTGATAAGGAATATCTACTAAAAATCTTCTGAAAACATCATTGTAATGGGGGGATATTTTAAGAACATTTTATTTAAAATTGAGAACAAGACAAGAAACTACCATCAGAGTGAACAGGCAACCTACAAAATGGGAGAAAATTTTTGCAACCTACTCGTCTGACAAAGGGCTAATATCCAGAATCTACAATGAACACAAACAAATTTACAAGAAAAAAACAAACAACCCCATCAAAAAGTGGGCGAAGGACATGAACAGACACTTCTCTAAACAAGACATTTATGCAGCCAAAAAACACATGAAAAAATGCTCATCATCACTGGCCATCAGAGAAATGCAAATCAAAACCACAATGAGATACCATCTCACATCAGTTAGAATGGCAATCATTAAAAAGTCAGGAAACAACAGGTGCTGGAGAGGATGTGGAGAAATAGGAACACTTTTACACTGTTGGTGGGACTGTAAACTAGTTCAACCATTGTGGAAGTCAGTGTGGCGATTCCTCAGGGATCTAGAACTAGAAATACCATTTGACCCAGCCATCCCATTACTGGGTATATACCCAAAGGATTATAAATCATGCTGCTATAAAGACACATGCACACGTATGTTTATTGCGGCATTATTCACAATAGCAAAGACTTGGAACCAACCCAGATGTCCAACAATGATAGACTGGATTAAGAAAATGTGGCACATATACACCATGGAATACTATGCAGCCATAAAAAATGATGAGTTCATGTCCTTTGTAGGGACATGGATGAAATTGGAAATCATCATTCTCAGTAAACTATCGCAAGAACAAAAAACCAAACACCGCATATTCTCACTCATAGGTGGGAACTGAACAGTGAGATCACATGGTCACAGGAAGGGGAATATCACACTCTGGGGACTGTTGTGGGGTGGTGGGAGGGGGCGGGGATAGCATCGGGAGATATATCTAATGCTAGATGACGAGTTAGTGGGTGCAGTGCACCAGCATGGCACATGTATACATATGTAACTAACCTGCACAATGTGCACATGTACCCTAAAACTTAAAGTATAATAAAAAAAAAAGAAAAAAAAATTGAGAACAAGACAATGTTCACTGTCATAGCTTCAAGTCAATATTTTGTTCAAATTCCTAACCAATACAGTAAGAGAGAAAAAAGAAATAGTTGTAAGGATTGCGAAGGAAGAAACGAATGAAGAAAAATTAAGTGAAAGGATATTCTCTGACAGAAATTAAGACTTCTTATAACCTAATAATTGGGACAATATGGTATTGATTCAGGATAGACAAATTGACAGATGGAACTGAAGAGAAACAGATCCGTATATCAGGAAATATGAAGAATAAAGGTAGCATCACAGGTCACTAGGGTAAGGAAGGACCACTCAATAACTGGTTCTGGGATATTTGATTATTTGTAGAGATAAAGTGATTTTTTTTCTCCCTCATATCACATGTAAACAAGAAGCTTCAGATAAAATAAAAGCTTAAGTCATTTGTCTTAAGTGTGAAAGGCAAAACTTTCAAACTTTTAGGAAAACCCCTTATATCCTTTGCATAGCAGAGGGTATCTTTTTACTATTTTTTTACAATTTGATTGTATTTTACTTTATTTTACTTTAAGTTCTGGGGTACATGTGCAGAACATGCAGCTTTGTTGCATAGGTATACACATGCCATGGTGGCTTGCTGCACCCATCAGCCCATGATCTACATTATGTATTCCTCCTAATGCTATCCCTCCCCTAGCCCCCCAACCCCTGACAGTCCCTAGTGTGTGATGTTCCCCTCCCTGTGTCCATGTGTTCTCATTGTTCAACTCCCACTTATGAGTGAGAACATGTGGTGTGTGGTTTCCTGTTCTTGTGTTAGTTTGACATGAACTCAATCGTTTTTTATGGCTGCATAATATTCCATGGTGTATATAAGCCATATTTTCTTTATCCAGTCTATCATTGATGGGCATTTCGTTGGTTCCAAGTCTTTGCTATTGTGAACAGTGCCACAATAAACATACATGTGCATGTGTCTTTATAGTAGAATGATTTATAATCCTTTGGGTATGTACCCATTAATGGAATTGCTGGGTCAAATGGTATTTCTAGTTTGAGATCCCTGAGAAATTGCCACACTGTCTTCCACAATGGTTGAACTAATTTACACTCCCACCAACAGTGTAAAAGCGTTCCTATTTCTCTGCCTCCTCTCCAGCATCTGTTGTTTCCTGTCTTTTTAATGATTGCCATTCTAAGTGGCGTGAGATGGTATCTCGTGGTTTTGATTTGCATTTGTCTGATGACCAGTGATGATGAGCATTTTTTCATGTGTCTGTTGGCTGCATAAATGTCTTCTTTTGAGAAGTGTCTGTTCATATCCTTTGCCCACTTTTTGATGGCTTTTTCTTGTAAATAAGTTCTTTGTAGATTCTGCATATTAGCCCTTTGTCAGATGAGTAGCTTGCAAAAATTTTCTCCCATTCTGTAGGTTGCCTCTTCACTCTGATGGTAGTTTCTTTTGCTGTGCAGAAGCTCTTTAGTCTAATTAAATCCCATTTGTCAATTTTGGCTTTTGTTGCCATTGCTTTTGGTGTTTTAGTCATGAAGTCTTTGCCCATGCCTATGTCCTGAATGGTATTGCCTATGTTTTCTTCTAGGGTTTTTGTGGTTTTAGGTCTTATGTTTAAGTCTTTAATCCATCTCGAGTTAATTTTTGTATAAGGTGTAAGGAAGGGGTTCAGTTTCAGTTTTCTGCATATGGCTAGCCAGTTTTCCCAATACCATTTGTTAAATAGGGAACCTTTTCCCCATTTCTTGTTTTTGTCAGGTTTGTCAAAGATCAGATGGTTGTAGATGTGTGGTGTTATTTCTGAGGCCTCTATTCTGTTCCATTGGTCTGTATATCTGTTTTGGTACCAGTACCATGCTGTTTTGGTTACTGTAGCCTTGTAATATAGTTTGAAGTCAGGTAGCGTGATACCTCCAGCTTTGTTCTTTTGGCTTAGGATTATCTTGGTTATGTGGACTCTTTTTTGGTTCCATATGAAATTTAAAGTAGTTTTTTTCTAATTCTGTGAAGAAAGTCAATGGTAGCTTGATGGGGATAGCATTGAATCTATCAATTACTTTGGGCAGTATGGTCATTATCATGATACTGATTCTTCCTATCCATGAGCATGGAATGTTTTTCAATTTGTTTATGTCCTCTCTTATTTCCTTGAGCAGTGGTTTGTAGTTCTCCTTGAAGAGGTCCTTCACATCCCTTGTAAGTTGTATTGCTAGGTATTTCACTCTCTTTGTAGCAATTGTGAATGGGAGTTCTCTCAAGATTTGACTCTGTGTAATTATTGGTGTATAGTTGGTAGTATAGTTTGAAGTCAGGTAGTATGATGCCTCCAGCTTTGTTCTTTTTGCTGAGGATCATCTTGGCTATGTGGGCTCTTTTTTGGTGCCATATGAAACTTAGAGTAGTTTTTTCTAATTCTGTGAAGAAAGAATGCTTGTGATTTTTGCACACTGATTTTTTTTACCATGAGACTGCTGAAGTTGCTTATCAGCTTAAGGAGATTTTGGGCTGAGATGATGGGGTTTTTTAAATATACAATCATGTCATCTGCAAACAGGGACAATTTGACTTCCTCTTTTCCTAATTAAATACCCTTTATTTCTTTCTCTTGCCTGATTGCTCTGGCTGGAACTTCCAACACTATGTTGAATAGGAGTGGTGGAGAGAGGGCATCCTTGTCTCGTGCTGGTTTTCAAAGGGAATGCTTCCAGTTTTTGCCCATTCAGTATGATATTAAATGTGGGTTTGTCATAAATAGTTCTTGTTATTTTGAGATATGTTCCATCAATACCTAGTTGACTGACAGTTTTTTAGCATGAAGTAGTGTTGAATTTTATCGAAAGCCTTTTCTGCATCTATTGAGATAATCATGTGGTTTTTGTCATTGGTTCTGTTTGTGATGGATTATGTTTATTGATTGTGTATATTGAACCAGCCTTGCATCTCAGGGATGAAGCTGACTTGATCATGGTGGAGAAGCTTTTTGATGTGCTGCTGGATTCGGTTTGCCAGTATTTTATTGAGGATTTTTGCATTGATGTTCGTCAGGGATATTGGCCTGAAATTTTCTTTTTTTGTTGTGTCTCTGCCAGGTTTTGATATCAGGATGATGCTGGCCTCATAAAATGAGTTAGGGATGAGTCCCTGTTTTTCTATTAATTGGAATAGTTTCAGAAGGAATGGTACCAGCTCCTCTTGTATCTCTGGTAGAATTTGGCTGTGAATCTGTCAGATCCTGGACTTTTTTTGATTTGTAGGCTATTAATTACTGTCCCAATTTCAGATCTGGTTATTGGTCTATTCAGGCATTCGACTTCTTCCTGGTTTAGATTTGGGAGAGGGTATATGTCCAGGAATTTATCAATTTCTTCTAGATTTTCTAGTTTATTTGCATAGAGGTGTTTATAGTATTCTCTGATGGTAGTTTTTTAATATTGTTATGTGTGGATTTGATCCTGTCATTATGTTGTTAGCTAGTTTTTCTGCCTGTTAATTGATGCAGTTTCTTCATAGTGTCAATGGTCTTTACAATTTGGCATGATTTTGCAGTGGCTGATACTAGTTGTTCCTTTCCATGTTTAGTGCTTCCTTCAGGAGCTCTTGTAAGGCAGGCCTGGTGGTGACAAAATCTCTCAGCATTTGCTCGTCTGTAAAGGATTTTATTCCTCCTTCCTTATGAAGATTAGTTTGTCTGGATATAAAATTCTGGGTTGAAAATTATTTTCTTTTTAAGTGTTGATTATTGGTCCCCACTTCTGGCTTGTGGGGTTTCTGCCGAGAGATCTGCTGTTAGTCTGATGGGCTTCCCTTTGTGGGTAACCCAACCTTTCTCTCTGGATGCTCTTAACATTTTTTCCTTCATTTCAACGTTGGTGAATCTGACAATTATGTGTCTTGGAGTTGCTCTTCTCAAGGATTATCTTTGTGGTGTTCTCTACATTTCCTGAATTTGAATGTTGGCCTGTCTTGCTCTATTGGGGGAGTTCTCCTGGATAATATCCTGAAGAGTGTTTTCCAACTTGGTTTCATTCTCCCAGTCACTTTCTGGTACACCAATCAAATGTAGGTTTGGTCTTTTCACATATTCCCATACTTCTTTTAGCATTTGTTCATTCCTTTTCATTCTTTTTTCTCTAATCTTGTCTTCATGCTTTATTTCATTAAGTTGATCTTCAATCTCTGATGTCCTTTCTTCCGCTTGATCAATTCGGCTATTGATACTTGTGTATGCTTCATGAAGTTCTTGCGCTGTGTTTTTCAGTTCCATCAGGTCATTTATGTTCTTCTATAAACTGGTTGTTCTAGTTAGCAATTCCTCTACTAACCATTTTTGAAGGTTCTTAGCTTCCTTGCATTTGGTTAGAATATGCTCCTTTAGCTCAGAGGAGTTTGTTATTACCGACCTTCTGAAGCCTATTTCTGTCAATTTGTCAAACTCATTCTCCATCCAGTTTTGTTCCCTCGCTGGTGAGGAGTTGTGATCCTTTGGAGGAGAAGAGGCATTCTGCTTTTTGGAATTTTCAGTGTTTTTGCACTGATTTCTCCCCATCTTCGTGGATTTATCTACCTTTGGACTTTAATGTTGGTGACCTTCGGACAGGGTTTCTGCGTGGACGTCCCTTTTGTTGATGTTGATGCTCTTCTTTTCTGTTTTTTTTAGTTTTCCTTCTAAGAGTCAGGCCCCAGTAGAGGGTTTCTTAAGGCAGTTACCAAAAAAAGCTAATGTAAATTTGATGCATTTGACCACATTACAATTAAGAATTTCTATTCAGCAGAGACAGCATGAAGAAAATGAAAAGATAAGTTACGATTTGGGAATACTTTTTTAAAGAAAAGTTCCACAAAGCAATAAGAAAATGGCAAAGAACCCAGTAAATTAATAGGCAAAACACGTGAGCAGCCATCACACTGAAGAGGAAGCACAAATGACTACCAACATACGAAACGATACTTTACCTCATATGTAACCAGAGAAACACAAATAAGACTGCAACTAGATACTGTTAGATGCTCAATAGATCACAAAATGTAAAAAGTCTGAGAACCTGAAATAACAAGCATGTGACAAGACAGTATAAAATCTAGCAATCTTATTCCTAGGTATGAGACTCATGCCTAGAGTCTCATGCAAAGTTGCATCAGGGGCATGTTCAAGGATGCTCATAGCAGCATTGTTTTTATGATTAAAAACCTGGAAACAACCCAGATCTCCATCAATATGAAATAAAATTCCATTGGGTGGTATATTCACCCAATGGAATGTTATCCAGTGCTAAAAATGAATAAACTATAGTTATCTGCAGCAGCATGATTGATGGTTAACAACATGACATTGAATAAAATTAAATAAAACCCAGGGGATTGCATAACATATAGTGTGTTTATAAAGCTTAAGAACAATAAAAACTAAATAACATTATTTAAGGATCTGTACATTTGTTAAAAATGGAGAGATAGCAGGGGACAGGAGGAGAACACACTCCATTTCTGCCAAGATGAAGTAATAGGGACCCATCCTCCTGAAGCAATGAAAAAAATGGAAAAGATATATGAAATGACAGTTTTCAAACCATCAGGTATCAGACAATCAAGGAGAATGATCTTGAGGGCTGAAAAACAATCTGAGCCTTATAATTCCCTGGCTTACTGCCTGAAGAGGCCATGCCATAGGGAGGGGGAGTCCAGGCAGAGCTCAGCAGTCTTCCTGAGTAAGGAGATGGAACTAGGAGTATAGGTAGGCCAAAGTGTAGCACCAGAGAGAAGAAAATTGCACAGAGAGAAAGTTGCAGAGAGCTGCAAAGGGTCCCCCTTTAGTCTTCAGCTGAGTAGTGATCATAGCAGGCCTGTGTAAAAACTACTTGAAGTCAAGGAAAGGGCCACCCAAAAGGATTAGAGAGAGCAATACTTGGAGTACACACAGAGCTGTAAATAGTTCCCATCAACTAGCATGGAAAAACTACAGATGATAAAATTATCAGACAAGGCATTAAAACAATTATTATAACTGTATTCTTTTTTTTTTTCTTTTTTTTTGAGACAGTTTTGCTCTTGTTTCCCAGGTTGGAGTGCAATGGTGCAATCTCAGCTCCCTGTAACCTCTGCCTCCCAGGTTCAAGCGATTCACCTGCCTAAGCCTCCCAAGTAGCTGGGATTATAGGCATGCACCACCATGCCTGGCTAATTTTTTATTTTTAGTAGAGAAGGGGTTTCTCCATGTTGGTCAGGCTGGTCTTGAACTCCCGACCTCAGGTGATCCACCCGCCTTGGCCTCCCAAAGTGCTGGGATTACAGGCTCGAGCCACTGTGCCCGGGCTCTATAACTGTATTCTGTATATTCAGGAAACAAGAGAAAAGACTGAGCATAATAAGTGGAATCATGAAAGATATAAAAAGGACTCATCAGACTTCTAGAGATGAAACTATTACAAAGGAAAAAACATGTCGAATGGGTTTTATACTGGATTAGAAAATAGAGAAGAAAAAATTAGTAATCTTGAGGGCATTTAAGCATAAACTGTCCCAATGAAATAAAGGAAAAAAATGCCTGAAAAAAAATCTGCTCTTTGAAGGATGCTGTTACAAGAATAAAAAGACAAGCCTCATGCTGGGAAAAAAAAAAATTTGCAAGTCGTGTATCTAATGAAAACTTTTAGCCAAAATATGGAAAGAACTCTTAAAACTCAATAAGACAAACACCCAATAAAAAATAGACAAAAGATTTTAACAGACATTTCATCAAAGCAGATATGAAGATGGCAAATAAGCACATGAAAACTGACCCAGACATGATACAGATGATAAAATTAGCAAACAAGGCATTAAAACAACTATTATAACTGCATTGTATATGTTCAAGAGATAAGAAAAAAGCTCAGCATCAATTAGTTATCAAGAAATGACACTAAAACTACAAGAAACCACTATGTACCTATTAGAATGGTTAAAATTAAAAACTGACCATACCAAGTGTTGATATGGAGGAACCAGAACTCTCCTACATTTCTGGTAGGAACATAAAATAGAATAATCATTTTAGAAAACAGTTTGGATGTTTCTTTAAAAATCAAATATATACCTATTATGTGACCCTGCTACTTGACTTTTATTTACTGAAGAGAAATATAGCATGTGACTATATAAAGACTTGTACACAGATCTTCATAGCAGCTTTATATATTTTTTAAGGGAAAAATCCAAACATCCTCAATAGGTAATGGGTAAGTATATTGTGATGCATTTATACAATAGGCTACTACTCAGCAATACAAAGGAATGAACTGTTGACATATGCAACAATGTAGATGAATTCTAAAATACTTTTTCTGAGTTAAAGAAGTCAGAGTGTACACTGTATGATTCAATTTAAATAAAAATTCTAGAAAATGCAAACTGATCTATAGTGGCAGAAAGCACATTGTGGTTGCCTGGGGAAAGAGGTGGAGAGAGCATGCTGAAGGATGGGAGATTACAAAGTGGTGAGGGGAACATTTTGTGGTCATGAAATGCCATTATCTTGATTGTGGTGATGGTTTGATGGATGTGCAAAAATTACTGTACCTCAGTAAATTTTTATGTAAAGCAAGAGAAATGGAAACCTAAAATTTATGATATAGGTAATAGTTACTTCTTGGAGGAGGCTGGGAAAGAGCACATGGGTAGATGCAATTAAAATTGGTGATGTTCTAGTCCTCAGGCTGCATAGTGGATTCATTGTTTTTATGTGACATATACATTTCATAATTATTTTATGCATGTGAACATTAAGTAATAAATTTAATAAAATGTTGCTGGTGATAAAGAACATTTCTGGCAAAGAGAGCCTCTTGTCCATTCCAAGATGGCCAAATAGGAACAGCTCCAGTCTGCAGTTCCCAGCATGATTGATGTAGAAGACGGGTGATTTCTGCATTTCCAACTGAGGTACCTGGTTCATCTCATTGGGACTGGTTGGACAGTGGGTATAGCCCATGGAGGGCGAGCTGAAGCAGGGCGGGGCATTGCCTCACCTGGGAAGTGCAAAGGGTCGGGGGATTTCCCTTTCCTAGCCAAGGGAAGCCATGACAGACTGTCCCTGGAAGATTGGTACATTCCCGCCTAAATACTGTGCTTTTCTCATGGTCTTAGCAACTGGCAGACCAGGAGATTCTCTCCTATGCCTGGATCAGTGGGTCCCATGCCCATGGAGCCTTGCTCACTGCTAGTGCAGCAGTCTGAGATTGACCTGTGAGGCTGCAGCCTGTGGGGGCATGTAGGGGCGTCTGCCATTGCTAAGGCTTGAGTAGGTAAATAAAGTGGCTGGGAAGCTCGAACTGCAGCTCAACAAGGCCTACTGCCTCTAGACTCCACCTCTGTGGACAGGGCATAGCTGAACAAAAGGCAGTAGACAACTTCTGCAGACTTAAACATCTATGTCTGTCAGCTCTGAAGAGAGCAGTGGTTCTCCCAGCATGGCGTTTGAGCTCTGAGAACGGACGGCCTGCCTCCTCAAGTGGGTCCCTGGCCCCCATGTGGCCTAACTGGGACACACCTCCCAGTAGGGACTGACAGACACCTCATATAGGCGGGTGCCCCTCTGGGACAAAGCTTCCAGAGGAGGGATCAGGCAGCAATATTTGCTGTTCTGCAGCCTCTGCTGGTGATACTCAGGCATACAGGGTCTGGAGTGGACCTCCAGCAAGCTCCAACAGACCTGCAGCTGAGAGACCTGACTGTTAGAAGGAAAACTAACAAACAGAAAGGAATAACATCAATATCAACAAAAAGGACATCCACACCAAAACCTCATTTATTGGTCACCAACATCAGAGACCAAAGGTAGATAAAAACTACAAAGATGGGGAGAAACCAGAGCAGAAAAGCTGAAAATTCTAAAAACCAGAGCACATTTTCTCCTCCAAAGGATCGCAGCTCCTCGCCAGAAATGGAACAAAGCTGGATGGAGAATAACTTTGACAAGTTGACAGAAGTAGGCTTCAGAAGGCCGGTAATAACAAAGTTATCTGAGCTAAAGGAGCATGTTCTAACCCATCGCAAGGAAGCTAAAAACCTTGAAAAAAGGTTAGACGAATGGCTACCTAGAATAAACAGTGTAGAGAAGACCCTAAATGACCTGATGGAGTTGAAAACCGTGGTAGGAGAACTTTGTGATGCATGCGCAAGCTTCAGTAGCCAATTTGATCAAGTGGAAGAAAGGATATCAGTGATTGAAGATCAAATTAATGAAGTAAAGCAAGAAGACAAGATTAGAGAAAAAAGAGTAAAAAGAAATGAACAAAGCCTCCAAGAAATTTGGGACTATGTGAAAAGACCAAATCTACGTTTGATTGGTGTACCTGAAAGTGATGGGGAGAATGGAACCAGGTTGGAAAACACTCTGCAGGATATTATCCAGAAGAACTTCCCCAACCAGGCAAGGCAGGCCAACATTCAAATTCAGGAAATACAGAGAACCCCACAAAGATACTTTTTGAGAAGAGCAACCCCAAGTCACATAATTGTCAGATTCACCAACGTTGAAATGAAGGAAAAAATGTTAAGGGCAATCAGAGTGAAAGGTCAAGTTACCCACAAAGGGACGCCTGTCAGACTAACAGCAGATCTCTCAGCAGAAACCCTACAAGCCAGAAGAGAGTGGGGCCCAATATTCAACATTCTTAAAAGAATTTTCAACCCAGAATTTCATATCCAGCCAAACTAAGTTTCATAAGTGAAGGAGAAATAAAATCCTTTACAGACAAGCAAATGCTGAGAGATTTTGTCACCACCAGGCCTGCCTTACAAGAGCTCCTGAAGGAAGCACTAAACATGGAAAGGAACAACAGTACCAGCCACTACAAAAACATGCCAAATTGTAAAGATCATTGATGCTATGAAGAAACTGCATCAATTAATGAGCAAGATAACCAGCTACCATCATAATGACAGGATCAAATTCACACATAACCATATTAACCTTAAATGTAAATGGGCTAAATGCCCCAATTAAAAGACACAGACTGGCAAATTGGATAAAGAGGCAAGACCCATCAGTGTGCTGTATTCAGGAGACCCATCTCATGTGCAGAGACACACATAGGCCCAAAATAAACGGATGGAGGAAGATCTACCAAGCAAATGGAAAGCAAAAAAAGCATGGGTTGCAATCCTAGTCTCTGATAAAACAGACTTTAAACCAAAAAAGATCAAAAGAGATAAAGAAGGCCATTTCATAATGGTAAAGAGAATAATTCAACAAGAAGCGCTAACTAACCTAAATATATATGCATTGAATACAGGAGCACCCAGATTCATAAAGGAAGTCCTTAGAGACCTACAAAGAGACTTAGGCTCCCACACAATAATAATGGGAGATTTTAACACCCCATTGTCAATATTAGACAAATCAAGGAGATAGAAGGTTAAGAAGGATATCCAGGACTTGAACTCAGCTCTGTACCAAGTGGACCTAATAGACATCTACAGAACTCTCCACCCCAAATCAACAGAATATACATTCTTCTCAGAACCACATCGCACTTTTTCTACAATTGACAACATAATTGGACATAAAGGACTCCTCAGCAAATGTAGAAGAACAGAAATCACAACAAACTGTGTCTCAGACCACAGTGCAATCAAATTAGAACTTAGGATTAAGAAACTCACTCAAGACTTCACAACTACATGGAAACTGAACAGTCTGCTCCTGAATGACTACTAGGTAAATAACGAAATTAAGGCAGAAAGAAACAAGTTCTTTGAAACCAATGAGAACAAAGACACAATGTACCAGATTCTCCGGGACACAGCTAAAGCAGTGTGTAGAGGGAAATTTATAGCACTAAGTGCCCACAAGAGCAAGCAGAAAATATCTAAAATCGACACCCTAACATCACAATTAAAAGAACTACAGAAGCAAGACCAAACAAATTCAAAAGTTAGCAGAAGGCAAGAAATAACTAAGATCTGAGTGGAATTGAAGGAGATAGAGAAACGAAAAATCCTTCAAAAAAATCAATGAATCCAGGAGCTGATTTTTTGAAAAGATCAACAAAATTGATAGACAGCTGGCAAGACTAATAAAGAAGAAAAGAGAGAAGAATCAAATAGACACAATAAAAAATGAAAAGGGGATATCACCACCAATCCCACAGAAATACAAACTACCATCAGAGAATACTATAAACACCTCTATGCAAATAAACTAAAAAATCTAGAGTAAATGGATAAATTCCTGGACACATATACCCTCCCAAGACTAAACCAGGAAGAAGTGGAATCTCTGAATAGACGAATAACAGGTTCTGAAGTTGAGGCAGTAATTAATAGCCTACCCTCCAAAAAAAAAAAAAAAAAACTCCAGGACCAGACAGATTCACAGCTGAATTCTACCAGAGGTACAAAGAGGAGCTTGTACCATTCCTTCTGAAACTATTCCAATCAATAGAAAAAGAGGGAATCTTCACTAACTCATTTTATGAAGCCAGCATCATCCTGATACCAAAGCCTGGCAGAGACACAACAAAAAAAGAGAATTTTAGACCAATATCCCTGATGAACATCGATGTGAAAATCCTCAATAAAATACTGGCAAACCGAATCCAACAG
Source organism: Homo sapiens (assembly GCF_000001405.40). Lineage (NCBI taxonomy): Eukaryota > Metazoa > Chordata > Mammalia > Primates > Hominidae > Homo > Homo sapiens. The sequence continues at coordinate 210,956,285 of NC_000001.11, read as the reverse complement.
CACATCAAAATCTTTTCCACCATGATCAAGTTGGCTTCATCCCTGGGATGCAAGTCTTATTCAACATACTCAAATCAGTAAACGTAATCCATCACATAAACAGAACCAACGACATAAACCACACGATTATCTCCATAGATGCTGTAAAGGCCTTTGACAATATTCAACAGCCCTTCATGCCAAAAACTCTCAATAAACTAGGTACTGATGGGACGTATCTCAAAATAATAAGAGCTATCTATGACAAACCCACAGCCAATATCATACTGAATGGGCAAAAACTGGAAACATTCCCTTTGAAAACTGGCACAAGACAGGGATGCCCTCTCTCACCACTCCTATTCAACATAGTATTGGAAGTTCTGGCCAGAGCAATCAGGCAGGAGAAGGAAATAAAGGGTATTCAATTAGGAAAAGAGGAAGTCAAATTGTCCCTGTTTACAGATGACATGATCATATATTTAGAAAACCCCATCATCTCAGCCCAAAATCTCCTTAAGCCGATAAGCAACTTCAGTGAAGTCTCATGGTACAAAATCAATGTGCAAAAATCACAAGGATTCCTATACACCAACAACAGACAAACAGAGAGCCAAATCATGAGTGAACTCCAATTCACAATTGCTACAAAGAGAATAAAATACCTAGGAATCCATCTTACAAGGGATGTGAATGACCCCTTCAAGGAGAACTACAAACCACTGCTTACTGAAATAAAAGAGGACACAAACAAATGGAAGAACATTCCATGCTCATGGACAGGAAGAATCAATATCGTGAAAATGGCCATACTGCCCAAGATAATTTACAGATTCAATGCCATCCCCATCAAGCTACCAATGACTTTCTTCACAGAATTGGAAAAAACTACTTTAAAGTTCATATGGAACCAAAAAAGAGTCCACATAGCCAAGACAATCCTAAGCCAAAAGAACAAAGCTGGAGGCATCACGCTACCTGACTTCAAACTACACTACAAGGCTACAGTAGTGAAAACAGCATGCTTCTGGTACCAAAGCAGATATACAGACTAATAGAACAGAACAGAGGCCTCAGAAATAACACCACACATCTATAACCATCTGATCTTTGACATACCTGACAAAAACAAGAAATGGGGAAAGGATTCCCTGTTTAATAAATGGTGCTGGGAAAACTGGCTAGCCATATGTAGAAAGCTGAAACTGGATCCCTTCCTTACACCTTATACAAAAATTAAGTCAAGATGGATTAAAGTCTTAAATGTGAGACCTAAAACCGTAAAAACCCTAGAAGAAAACCTAGGCAATACCATTCAGGACATAGGCATGGGCAAAGACTTCATGAGTAAAACACCAAAAGCAATGGCAACAAAAGCCAAAATTCACAAATGGGATCTAATTAAGCTAAAGAGCTTCTGCACAGCAAAAGAAACTACCATCAGAGTGGACAGGCAACCTACAGAATGGGAGAAAATTTTTGCAATCTACTCATCTGACAAAGGGCTAATATCCAGAATCTACAAAGAACTTAAACAAAGTTACAAGAAAAAAACAACCCCATCAAAAAGTGGGCAAAGGATATGAACAGACACTTCTGAAAAGAAGACATTTGTGCAGCCAACGGACACATGAAAAAATGGTCATCATCACTGGTCATCAGAGAAATGCAAATCAAAGCCACAATGAGATATCATCTCATGCCAGTTAGAATGGCGATCATTAAAAAGTCAGGAAACAACAGATGCTGGAGAGGATGTGGAGAAATAGGAATGCTTTTACACTGTTGGTGGGAGTGTAAATTAGTTCAACCATTGTGGAAGACAGTGTGGCAATTCCTCATGGATCTGGAACTAGAAATACCATTTGACCCAGCAATCCCATTACTGGGTATATACCCAAAGCATTATAAATCATTCTACTATAAAGACACATGCACATATATGTTTATTGCAGCACTATTCACAATAGCAAAGACTTGGAACCAACCCAAATGTCCATCAATGATAGACTGGATTAAGAAAATGTGGCACATATACACCATGGAATACAATGCAGCCATAAAAATGATGAGTTCATGCCCTTTTCTGGGACATGGACGATGCTGGAAACCATCATTCTGAGCAAACTGTCACAAGGACAGAAAACCAAACACCGCATGTTCTCACCCATAGGTGGGAACTGAACAATGAGAACACTTGGACACAAGGCGGGGAACATCACACACTGGGGCCTGTCTTGGGATGGGGGGCTGGGAGGCTGGGGGAGAGATAGCATTTGGAGAAATACCTAATGTAAATGACGAGTTGATGGGTGCAGAAAACCAACATGGCACATGTATACCTATATAACAAACCTGCACATTGTACACATGTACCCTAGAACCGAAAGTATAATTAAAAAGAGAACCTCTTATGCTAAGTTATGAAGGCAAAGGAAAGAATAAGGAGAACTGCAAGTAGTTCAATGTATCTGGAGCTGGCAGTGAAAGAGGTCAGTAGGGAGAGAGGCAGAGTAGAAGTAAGAGATCGAAGGTTCTGGATAAGAGAGGGTTTTGAATGCCATCCCAGGGGGTGTGAATTTTACTCGTAGGCACTGGAAAGCCACTGGAGGATTTCCTGCCAGGAAACGACGGGATTCGATTAAAATTTTAGAAAGAATCCTGAATTTCTATTTATGGAGACAGATTGGAGGAGGTTACACCTGAGCCAGGGAGACCAACTGAAATGCTTTGGAGTATTCCGTGCAAGAGAAGACGAGGGCTATGGAAATGCAGCGAAAGGGAGAGATCCAGATTGCCAGAAAAGTTGGAGCAAAACCAAGAGAGAGTTTTCACAGAAGCCAGGGTAAGACAAAATTTTGAGAAAGATAATTGTCAGCAAATACACAAGGATTGAAAAGCTTCTTTTGGTATATCTAATAGAAATCTTATGGTGAGAACAGCCCACGTGGGTGCTGAGGGTGGATGCCAGCTTGCCCTGGGTTCAACCTGAGTGGTGAGGAGGTTGAGGCCAAGTGTGAATTTGTATTTCCAGAAAATGGTCTGTGCCTGGAGGGAGCAAAATACTTTATATTCACGTGATAGAGTTCCTTAAGATAGGGAATCCAGAGCAGAGCTGGAGGGCTTAGCCTTAAAATGGAAAAGTCTCACCCTTTGCTCTAAGAAAATAGAAAGGTAGCTATAGGTATAGGAATAATAATAGGTGTGGGAGAAAGATTGTGAGGGAGTTGATATTTGATAGCTTTGATTATCTGGGTCAAATAAAAGCTGGGGTACCTTTTGAAATTGAGTATGAAAAGTTGGAACAGCTATAATAGCACATTATAAAAGGAGCTAATCAAAAACCAACCAGTCAACCAATTAACCAACCAAATAAAAACCTCCATAAAAATATTACTGTGGTTGAAGCTACTGCATATGGTTGCCTAGCTTATGTAATGCACAAGAGTAGAGACACCAATAATATTCTCATGATAGTTTACCTGAATGATATTCCAAGGGTTGTGAAGTTTACAACCTCAACTGTACATGGAAGCCTTAGCTACAGGCTAGCCTGAAATTAGAAACCATTAATTTGCAGTAAGAACACTTGGCAGGTTTATGTGATTTTTTTTTTTTTCTCTAAGAGTGAGTCTTTGGGTTGATCCACAATATCCAAAGTTAGAGTGGACTTTTGGGAGCCATGGAGTAGTAAGACAAGAGGGCTGAATGTTGAAAATGATTGTTAGAGGGCAACAGAAATGACACACTTTAATCTTTATTCTAGCTCAGAGCTCTGTATGTTCTCCTGTTGCTGTACTGCAAGTATTATTGGTTTGTCTGATGCTTCCACAAGGTGTAAGCTCCATAAAGTGACCAGGCTTGATGTTTGTGCTTAGATCAGCACCTGCACATAGTAAGGACTCCATAAATCTCTGCTGGATAGACTGATAGAAAGATGAGGCTTTATGGGGAAGGAAGTTACATCATCAAGGAGTTATGCACCAGGGAGAAAGGAAAGATATGGTGTATATTTGAGTTTCAAGGGCTGGTGAAGTAGGAATAAGGGTGTGAATGAGCTGGAGGGAAGGGGTTTATGGCCAGAGATGAGTATATCAGTGTTTGATATTTTAGAATTAGTACAACCCTGTGAAGTGACAATTCCTTAGATATTGCCTGGGCAGTAGGTGCTGAGGGAGAGAGGAGGTAAAGAGACAGAGAGGAAGACCAAGTGCTCAGGTGCTAGGCAGCTTGTCTGGGTGACTGAAGAAATGTCACACAGGAAGATGTGGGCACTTGGAGGACTGTGTACCCCGCGCAAGTGTCCTCAGGGAGTGACAAAGAGTGGCTACAAGGTAGAGAGATAACAAGGAGGGCCAGAGGGGGCTGAAACGCATGGCTTAAAGCTCAAAGAAGAAAGGCTTTTGCATGAGGGAGTAAGGAGAACGTTCTAGAAAAGACAACAGTGTGCATCATATAGCTGTTTTCATTTAACAGGATGAAGGAGAGATGGCCTGAGTTCAGTCAGGGGGTTATTCTATTTGTACTGATATGGTTGTGTTGCTTTAGTCCTTACCCTGAACACCATATCTCTTTTTATATATAATAAATAATAATCGTAATAAGGGTTTGATATTTTAATAAAATTACACCATTACAGAAAAAGCATAATCTACTGGATTTTATCCTATTACCAATACGTTTTTCTATGCCTGAGGAAAGCTGATCCCGTTAACCCCTGGAACCATGACAAGAAGAGTATCTAGAAAGAAATGCTTCTGCTAGGCAGCGTTGTAAACTCAAACCGACAAACTGCCAGCAGATTGCATAGCTTCCAATAGCTAAACGCCAGAGGAGTGCGATCACAGCAGCTCTGGCTTGTTACATAAATTACATGCACAGCAGGTTCAAATGCTCCTAAAGCATCAAGAACGTTCTCCTTGACATATATTAGCATAAGTATTTCCATCTCATTTTCCCTCTGGATCTTATGCTTTACAAACCCTATCTGTAGTTTCCTCTTTATGTTTTCTCAGTTTTCCTGGATGCACGCAGGCTATGCCCCCTCACCCCCAAGCTACTCTTCGCACAGCACACCTGTATAGAGGGGGTCTGCCCCTAGTGGAGTTTCTGTCGTAGCCCTGTGGACAGAGCATGTCCACCCTGGTTCTTGGATGTCCTGAGTTGTGCTGTTTGAGTCTGCAGAGATTCTCACTGCACATTTAGGCTGAGTCTGTGTGGAAATACTCCCCTTCTCTCCGACTTTTAATTAAGAATGACTCTTTACCCATTTAACCTTTTAATGTCCTTTATAGCACTTTACACATTCAGATATAATCTTGTTAAACTTTTATTTTCTTTTGCTTATTTTTGTTTCTCCCACTAGAAGGTAAGTTCCATGAAGGCAGAGATCCTGTGCTTTGCTTAGTGTTGAATCTCCAGGGCTGGGCCTGGCACTTGAGGCCACTCAATAAGTAGCACTTTTTAGCCAGTATTTGTCAGTTGTTTCTATATTAAATCGAAGATTAAAGTACATACTTCATAGAGTTCTTGTGATGATAAAATGAGATGATATATCTGTCACATGAGTTAATAGTCCCAATAAGTGGCCGGTGGTAATTGGACACATTCTGGAGCCCTTGTTGAGGGCCTGTCTTTAAGAAATCTAAACTGATAGCAAAGACTTGGAACCAACCCAAAAGTCCAACAATGATAGACTGGATTAAGAAAATGTGGCACATATACACCATGGAATACTATGCAGCCATAAAAAATGATGAGTTCATGTCCTTTGTAGGGACATGGATGAAATTGGAAAACATCATTCTCAGTAAACTATCGCAAGAACAAAAAACCAAACACTGCATATTCTCACTCATAGGTGGGAATTGAACAATGAGATCACTTGGACACAGGAAGGGGAATATCACACTCTGGGGACTGTTGTGGGGTGGGGGAGGGGGGAGGGATAGCATTGGGAGATATACCTAATGCTAGATGACGAGTTAGTGGGTGCAGTGCACCAGCATGGCACATGTATACATATGTAACTAACCTGCACAATGTGCACATGTACCCTAAAACTTAAAGTATAATTAAAAAAAAAAAAAAGAAATCTAAACTGAGAAGTGAAGTGACAGCAGCTGTCAGCTTCCCACTTGCCCTCCCCTGCCTGGGCACTAGGTGGCACTCTGGAGGGAGACCAAGAAGAGGCTGTTACCTGGTGTTCAGAGAAGAATGAAGGTGGGAGAGAAACTGACTTATTTATACATCTGTTTTTGTTCTTGTTCTCTTTGTGTCTGTGTGGCTTGGCAATCTTTTCCTCACTGGCTTCTAGTTTTAGAAGTATACTCTGTTTGATTAAAGCAGGTTTCACATGGTTGATTTGCCGTTTTTCCATTCTTTCTTTTAAATATCCTCCTTATACCTAGCTGATTGATTCATAGCATCTTCGTATAATGTTATCTCATAATGTTGTTGCCAAGGCCTGGAATTGGAGTGAGCGGCTCCGTGTTTAGAATATAATTACTTTGCACCAGCTTGGAATGTGCCAAAATAATGACCAGATGAACAATTATAATGGGCGATATAGCTAATTGTGGCAGATCAGCAGAGAACACTGATCATATCACTAAAATCAACAGCAGAAACCTGGGCATTGGCTGGTGCAACCGATTCATTGCATTTATGAAGTGCTGTTTTGCGTGTTCCCCTCTAAGAGGAGCCAGGACCTGTGGGAGGTGGAAAAGTAGCAGAGGTCATGGGTGCTGCCCTTGATGTTACTGTCATGTTGGGAGAGAAAACAGACTGGGACGTAACAATTGAGGACTGTGTTAAAACAACAACAACTATGTTCACTTTGCTTAATAAAGCAAAGGGGTAATCTCTTTGGATGCAGGAAGACTTCTTGGAGTAGGTGAGCTTAGGGTTTGTTCTTGAGGCAAGTGGTAAGATTTGGGCTGACAGGGTTAAAGACATCGGAAAGGAACTTGAAATGCCAAAGCTGAGGAATAAGCAAGATGTGTACTGGGCTCCTCAAGGAGAGAAGGGTTGTGACACCTTGGTATATGGGACATGTGTTTGCAGAGGACAGAAGGGCTAGCTGACTCATGTTTGAATCTGAGGTTGGTCGGTTTTGAATTACTCTGGCAGTCCTTGGGGAGTTCATGGTATCTTTTTTCCCTTTAAGTATAAAAGGCTATAACAGCATTAAAGAAAATTATAATAAAAAAATTGTTCATTACATATCACTCTATCCCAGGAGTCAGCAAACTACAGGGCAAATCTAACCCACCATTTGTTTTTGGACACCCCATGAGCTAAGAATGGTTTTTACTTTTTTGAATAGTTGATGAAAGTCAAAAGAGAGGGATAATATTTTGTGACATGAGAAAATGATATGAAATTCAAATTTTAGCATCCATAAATAAAGTTTTGTTATAACCCGGGCATGTTTCTTCATCTGGATATTTTTTTCTTTTTTTTTTTTTCCTTTTTTTTGAGATGGAGTCTTGCTCTGTGGCCCAGGCTGGAGGGCAGTGGCGTGATCTCGGCTCACTGCATGCCTCCTGGGTTCACGCCATTCTCCTGCCTTAGCCTCCCGAGTAGCTGGGACTACAGGTGCCCACCACCATGCCTGGCTAAATTTTTTTTTGTATTTTTAGTAGAGACAGGGTTTCAGTGTGTTAGCCAGGATGGTCTCGATCTCCTGACCTTGTGATCCGCCCGCCTCAGCCTCCCAAAGTGCTGGGATTACAGGTGTGAGCCACTGTGCCCCACCTCCATCTAGATATTTTCTATGGCTGCTTTTGGACTATAATGGCAGCATTGAGTAGTTGTGACAGAGACTGTATGGCCAGCAAAGCCTGATGTCTGGCCCTCTACAGAAAATGTTTGTTGACCCCTGCCTTAACTCAATGATTTTTCATTTCTGCTTATTTCCTTCCTGTCTTTATCTAAAATGTGCACATAATTTACATAGCCATATTCATTTTTGTCTACAGCTTTTCTTTGTCAAACATTCTTCTATAGTAGTCATCATAACTAATTTTAATGAGCATGTATTTCTGTACTGCTTTATAATGTAAAAAATGCTTTGTATCCATTATCTTTTTTTTTTTTTTTAAAGAGACAGGGTCTTACTCTGTTGCTAGAGTATCACAGCTCACTGCAGCCTTGAACTCCTGGGCTTCAGTGATCCTCCCGTCTCAGCCTCCTGAGTAGCTGGGACCACAGGCATGTACCACCACACTCGGGCTAATTTTTTCCTTTTTTTTTTTTTTAATAGGGATGGGGTCTCACTATGTGGCCCAGGCTGGTCTCAAACTCCTGAGCTCAAGCAATCTGCCCCCAACCCCTACCCCAAAGTGCTGGGGTTACAGGCATCAGCCACCATGGAGGGCAATTATCTCGATTTATTATGACAAAAACTCATGTGATAAGATGGAGTGTTCTCATTCCATGGAACTTTCATAGTGATTAAGTGATATGCTCAAGATCACACAGATAACAAACAAGTAAAGCCAGGATTTCTGATCCCAAATCTCTTATTCATTTTACTTTTCTGATAACTTATAATTTTTGCCCAAGCTAATTTATTTTTAATTAACAATTCTTCTATTGTTGGTTATGTAGGCTGTTCCCAGTTCTTCTTGCTTACCAGTGGTGTATCTCAGTGAACATCATATATATGACTGATTGATGTAAGTTATTTATTTATTTTAGGGTGAAGAATTGAGCTTTTTTTTTTTTTTGAGACAGAGTCTTGCTGTGTTGCCCAGGTTGGAGTGCAGTGGCGTGATCTCTGCTCACTGCAAGCTCCGCCCCCCAGGTTCATGCCATTCTCCTGCCTCAGCCTCCCGAGTAGCTGGGACTACAGGTGCCCGCCACCATGCCTGGCTAATTTTTTTTTTTCGTATTTTTAGTAGAGAAAGGGTTTCACCGTGTTCACCAGGATGGTCTCGATCTCCTGACCTCGTGATCCGCCCGCCTCGGCCTCCCAAAGTGCTGGGATTACAGGCATGAGCCACCGCGCCTGGCCAAGAATTGAGCTTTAACATTTGCTTTTCAGCCGAGAGACCCAGTGGTATGAATGGGGTAGGGATTGATCTGTAAGGAAGAAGATAACTCTAGGGCAGGTGGTCTCACCCTTGTTCAAAAGCTGTCTCTTTAGAGGTCGATCTAATTTCCAAAGTCATTCAGCAATTATTTGTATGGTGCCTGTTAGCACCAGGCACAAGAACAGTAGGTTCTAGGGCTTTGGTCTTGAAATTAACAGGGTGCCTGCCCTCAGCAGTCTAATAGTTACATATAAGATGGTGAGGGGACAGGTAAGTTGGCGGTGATATTGCACTGTGGGGAGTTTACAACAGGAATGTGTGCTGGATGCTTGGGAGTGGGGCCGCTCTGGCTGAGATGTCAAGGAAGAGTTCTAAAATGAAGGATAAGTAGGGACTTGGCTAGGTGAAAAGCAGAAAGGGGAAGACAGTGAGAAGAGACATCATTTGGGCATGGAAACCCGCCTACGTGAAGGACAGGTGGTAAGACAGACCACAGCAGATCTGAGGAATTCAAGTTGTTCAGCGTGACTGGAGTGCGGGTGTGTGAGAACACGGCGGGAGAGAAGGCAGGAGGAGCAGGCAGGGGCCAGGCCACAAGGGCCTTATGGGTGGCAGTGAGGTGCTGAGAATAGTGCAGGTGTAGAATAAAACACAAATTTGGGCCATGTTTTTCCCTTGTTTATTGTGAGATGTGTCTCTAGGGCTGTTGTTGATGCCTCAGAGAAGGCTGTGCAGTACATTTCTGCATCAAAAGTGGGATGGGTAATACAGGAGTTTCTAGAACGAGGAGTATCTCAGTGACTGCCTTACAAATAAGCGCCCTAGTTTTTGTTGCAGAGTAAAGCAAATGGGAAAGGATTTCTGATTCTGAAATGTGGTTTTTGCCTCCAGGCTTTCACCAAGGAGGGGCAGGGCATCTTGCCTCCCTAAGGCAGCATGGATACACATGCTCCCAGGCTTCCAGGACATTGACTGGGTATCCTGGGGCTGTTTTCTGGCCCAGTGCTCCCTAAGTTCCCACAGAAAGTACAAGCCATGCCTCAGACCCCTAGGAATATTCTCCAGATGAGCAGGAGCTATAAAGTCTCACCTTCATGATGCGATTCCTCTGAGATGTTTGCAGTTATTTTATGAAGACCAAGTGGGATAATATTCATGTAAAAGTTTTGTAAGCTGTGAAGTGCTACATGGATGCTATGTATTAATTCATCCAGCTAATTTTTATTGACAGCCTGCTATACTGGCAGTGTTCTGGGTGCTGAGGACACAGTAGTTCCTGCCAAGACAGTGTGTACATTCTAGTGTGTGAGGCATCAACAATAAATGTAAAGCCTCTAGTATACTAAATGGTGATAGATGCTCTGGAGAAAAATGAAACAGGGAAGGGGGTCTGGGAGTTGCGATTTTAAGCGTGTGAGGGAAGTCCTTTTTGGAGAAGTTAACATTTGAGCAACAACTCCAATGAGATGAGTGAGGACAATTGGGTGCCAATGTTCTGGCAGAGGATAAACAAGCGCAAAGGCCCTGCGGTGGAAGGGTACCCAATGTGTCTGAGGAACAACAGAAGTTCTCTGTGACTACGTGGGAGTGACTGAGTTGAGGGGACAGTGGTAAGAAACAAAGTTGGAGACATCCTGAATCAGGAGAGAGAGCATTACAGAATTTATGGACCTTGGGGACCACTGTGAAGACTTTGGCCTTCATCCTGAGGGGAAGCCCTTGGAAGGCCCATTTATTGTAACTGTTCCTCCTCTGCTCTGGCCTCCTACACATCCTGAACCAGGTGGCTTGGGTTTGAATTTGGCTTTGCCACTTAGTCACTTTATAATCTTGGGAAAGTTACTTAATCTTTCAGTGCCTCAGTTTCCTTCTTTGTAAAATGGAGATACGTGTAGTTCCTAACTTACAGGAATCATGAGAATTAAATGAGGTCATGTTTATAACATACAGTGCCTGGCACATAGTATACATTGTGTAAGAGTTAGTTTAAAACAGCAAAAAAAAGTTAAGTACTGCATCCTGAGACCTCAAATAGATATTTGTGCACCAATGCTTATAGCAGCATTATTCATCGTAGCCAAAAGGTAGACACAACCCAAGTGCCCATTAATAGATGAACGGGCAAGCAAAATGTGTTAAACACACAATAGGATATTATTTATTCATAAAAAGTAATGAAATTCTGACACATGCTATAACCTGGATGAGCCTGAAAACACTGTGCTAAATGAAAGAAGCCAGACACAAAAGGACAAACATTGCATGATTCCACTTATATAGGTTTCTAGAATAGGTAAAATCATAGAGACAGAAAGTAGATTGGAGGTTATCAGGAGCTGGCAAAAGGGAGGATGTGAAATTAGTGTTTAATGGGTGCAGAGTTTCAGTTTGGAAACGTGAAAAATTTCTGGAGATGAATAGTGGTGATGGTTGTACAACCTTGTGAATGTACTTAATGCCACTGAACTGTACACTTAACGAGGGTTGAAATGATACATTTTATATTATATATTTTTTACTGCAATAAAAAAATACAGTAGCCTGTTTCTTTTCTAGATTTGGCCACAAGGAATAATGTATATTATGTGAGGAGTCAGGAAACCAGGGTTTGTGTCTCAGCTTTGTCATTTGCTGCTCTGTGCCTGAAATGAGGCACCCTTCCCTGCACTTCTGGTTCCTTATCTGTAAGAGAAGGGGTGTGGCTCAGTGACCCCTGGGGTCCCCTCCTGATCCAAAGTTCTGTGGTCCCAGAACCCCTGAGGCGAGGCTTATGTCTTGAGCTCTCCATTTAGATATGGCAGTTAAGTGGTCCCACCCCTTGGCAGCTTCCTTTGGCCGTCTGCTTTCTGGCCTGGGGAGCTGTGGCTCTGTTTGCTTGCCTGGAGGGCCTTTGCAGTGGAGGGCTGTGTTGTGTACAAACATGGGATTGTGTCCTAGTATCACCAGGAAAGGGATTTAAATTACTGTTCATAAATGCATTATGACTTTAAAAGCCATTTCTAACTAATGCCACTACTGCCACCAGTACTCATTTTTAGATGGTTTGATTTTAAGTTTCTAAAAAACACCCTTATGAATTGATATGCTGTAGACTCATAATAGTTCTATGATCCAGGTAAGAGTTGGGGGAACTGCAGAGTGACCCGAGCTAGGCCAGTGACTTTGGAGTTAGTTTCTTTACCTCTTTGGGCATTAGTGGCCTCCTCTGGGGCTGGACTTAGAGTCTTGGGAGTCTTTTAGTGCCTACTTTGTTTTATTTCTGAGCCAAAGTGATTTGGATAATACACAGTACTTAAAGAACTGAAGCCAAGCCAGCTTCCAGTCCCTGGGCCCAGTATATGTGGGAAACCGGTATCTACTGAGTCCCCATGGAATGTACACAGGTACTGCCCTGGGTAGTCCCAGGACACCATTCTGCCTGTCTTCAGGTTACCTTGTAAGAGCCCAGAGTCCTCAGTCTTTGTGAATATAGCAGGGACTAAATCTAATCTATTCTGACACTAGTCTTTTGGGGATGCAAGGAGCATCTTTTTATTCTACCACTGCTTTTGTTTATTTTTCATTCTGCCACTTGGTGCTTATATGCAACCTGCTCACTGCTTAAAAAGAAGGAGAGAGGCCAGGCATGGTGGCTCACACCTGTAATCCCAGCACTTTGGGAGGCCGAGGTGGTCAGATCAGAAGGTCAGGAGATCCAGACCATCCTGGCTAACATGGTGAAACTCCGTCTCTGCTAAAAAAAAAATACAAAAATTAGCCGGGCGTGGCGGTGTGCGCCGGTATTCCCAGCTGCTTGGGAGACTGAGGCAGGAGATTGGCCTGAACCCGGGAGGCAGAGCTTGCAGTGAGCCAAGATCGTGCCACTGCACTCCAGCCTGGGCAACAGAGAGAGACTCCATCTCAAAAAAATAAATAAATAAAAAATAAAAAATAAAAAATAAAAAAAAGAAGGGGAGACTCATCAGTTCCATTATAGTTGGGTTGAGTTTGGGGGAGAATTTTTTGAGTGAGTGGGGGAAAATAGTAGGCTGGTTTGGCTGGTGTCTTTGGAATAGCCATGGAGACTTTGATTTCATTGTTTGTTTTCAAAAGTCTGATTGTAATCAACAGAACTCATCCTCATGGCGGCTTGTCCAACAGTTCATTACTACATTCACATAAAATGGGGAAAATTGCAGCATTTTTTTCCATAGGATAGTTGTGAGAATTGAATGAATGACTGTAAGACTAAGAGTTAGGACTGCTTGGCACATTGCAAGTTCTTTAAAATTATTTTTATTTGCTATTACTTAGCAGGATTGGGATGACAGGTCAAAGTCTATATACAACTTTTCCACAAAAATAAACTTCTGAATGGCATGTTTGTTTTCTTGGTAATTTCTGATAATTATAGTCAAAGAAGTGCTAGATCTTTTAAAGCAAGTTTAGAAAGACCAATACCTAGGTATAAATTGTATCCTATGAGTTTTCATTATTTCAGATATCCTTTTTTTTTTTTAATAACCTTATCAGGTGAAACCGACCTTTGCTCCCCTATGGGTCTCTGAGTGTCCTGAAGCAAAAGTCTAGGATCCCTGCCCATTTTCCTGAAGTTACACAGCTGTTTAGGTCCAGTATATATGACTGCTTGTTTGCAAATTTTCAGAGAAGGGGCATTATTCTCCTTATTTATTAACTCTCATCTAGTGGTAACTTCTTTTGATAATTCAGATTCTTCTCTTTACTGTGGAGAAATAGTTTCTCCGCTTTGTGACTTTCTTTTCTTTTTTAGCTTGATTTTTTACAGCTGGAAGACAGCAAGGTGGCACCCTTGTAAAACAACCACTAATACTTTTATGGGCATTAGCCCTGTATTACATGCATTTTTCCTACTTTATAGGTGAAGATGTGAAGCTCGGAGAGGTTGGGTGACCTACTGGGGTCACAGGGGGCCTGGTCTTAGCCTGTGCCCTGAACTTGGATTGAATCCTACATGTGATATGGTCCATCCATGAGACTCCTCTTGGTGGCCTTTTGTTGTTGTTTTCCTAACAAGAAAGCAGTTTATTTTGTCTATGGCTTCTCTTATTCTCAAAAGTTTTGGTTATTGATTATTTTAATCCACACAGAATGATTAAGTATGTTTACTTACTTCTGCCTGCTTCCAGAAACTTTGGAACTATATATTTACTGGAAGCCTTTTAAAGAAGCCATAATTTTCTTTACAAATCTCTATAGAGATTTATCCTCAGAAGGCCTAATGGCAGTAGAGTGGAGCTCTGTGTCTCTCAGTTGCTTCATGGAATGGAAGAGTCTAGAATGATTAGTAGTCTCATCACCATTCTCTGTTGAGCTGCAAAGACAAATGGCTCTCAAGGGCTTTAAATCTATTTGTGAAGATAGGACAGAGTCAAAACCATAAACAGTATAAAGGCAAAATACTGATCCTCCTTCTAGCTGGAAGGGGGCCCTTATTACCTTAAACCTAGAACATCCCTGAGTTAGGATTGCACTGTTTCCCTATGAGTCCTCTGTTTCTCCCTGTCCCTTTTTCAGTCACACTGAGAGACATCATGGGGCCAAGTCCACCCTCATGGCACCTCTTTTGGGAACCAGCTTTGACTTCCTTTGCCTCCTCAGAAGTATGCCCAGTGACTTGCCAAGCTCTTTTTCTGAGGGTGCTCTGCCTCGCAGAGCTTTGGTTTGCCCAACATGTGAGGTAGTCCCTGAGTATTGGGAATCCTTAGCACCCTGCCCAGTTCTCACAGATACAACCCAGGTGTTTGGGCTACTGGCCTGTACTTTAGCATACCAGGCTCCCCAAACTCCAGGGAACCTTTTGCACATCTAAACCAGCTTTTTAAAACCTTGCCTCCTTGCCCCCAACCTGCTAGTGGAGGCCTAGGGCAATCAGACCACAAATTCTTGGTGCTTGTCAGGAGGCTACATGTTTGGAGGCTTCTACCTTCTTACTTGAAGCTTGGTGTTGGGCAAGGATGCCACTGAAGTGGATTATGTTTGTGGGGGGAATGTGTGCTTTTTAAAGGCCAAATTCGATTGCATAGGGAATTACCTGTGTTTTCCCTTTGCATTAAGTAGATAGTGTTAGCACATGTGGTTAGGAGACCCAGCCGCTTCCTTACTTCCTCAAATCTTCCTAGTCAAGGCGATGCTTTCCTAATGTTGGTGCTGTTCTGTATCCAGAGCTCTGCCCAGGGGACTGATAAGTGGACCAGTACTATACTCAGGCCCAGTGCCAAACATGCCTATAGATGCAACCCCCATGAAAGTCACTGGGGTTTTCACCCCCACCAGACCCTGACATACTGTCATCTTGGAGAATTTAAATCAAATTAGCCTAAAGCAAATTAAGGGCGTGGCTAACTGCATCAATGTCAGGATACAACAGGATTGTATTGCTTCCTTCAATATGAGAGAAATAGATTCTAGGCTACTTGGATTAATTTCATTTCCTTGGGAGAAGAAAACCTGAAATTTGTATTCTGAGAAGATGGAGATATGGTTTGATAAAACCAGATTCTCTTTTCTGTGTCCTTTGGATTTTATTTGGCCAATGAAAAAGATTTCAGTTTTCAGGCCTCTAGAAGGAAAAAGCCATAAATTATCACAACTGAATACGCAGTTTATTTCATGGTTTGAATTATAAACAGAAAGGAAGTGGATGGTTTTAAGCAACATTTGTAAATTTCCTTCAATGATTGTTTTCTATGGAGACTGCAGATGTGCCTTTTGGGTACATTATTGGATTAAACAAATGGAAGGTTGCAAGCTATCCCATTTTTAGTTCAAAGCTCTCTTTACACTCAGTAACCACATCCTTCCCCTGAATGTAGTCAACAGACCTGTTAAATAAACTAGAAGAAAATCTTCTTGATGCACACCCACAGGTCTTGTGCTAATTCAGTCTTTATGATGGCAGCTAACTTGTGCTTGCTGCTGCATTGCAGCTTACAGGCTGTGTTTTCTCTGTGGCTGATTGTAGGCAACATAAGGGCATGTGTCTTCCTGGCTTTTGTATCACTGGTAGCTCTTGGCTGTGTCTTCCTGTCCTAGGTTTTCAGGAAATGATTGCCGAATTGAATTAAACCAGCCTAAAGTAAAATGTTGAAGCAATGGAAGGGAAGAAAATTGTATTTCAGCTTCATTGAATAACTTCCAATAAAATCTGATAAGCCAATTTATTCCATTATACAGTTGCAATGGCTCTGTAGTTCTCAGAGTAGTGGGATCATCATGGAATATTTATTCTTGAAGTCATCTCTGTTTTATAAAGACAACAAACAAGACTATCTCTGTTAATAACATAGTAAATCCTTGTAACAGACCACTAGATTTTCCATTGTCAAAACTTCTTGTAAGTCACAGTTTGAGTTTCCATTCAACAAACATTTATTGGGCATCCACAGTGAGGTAGAATTCTGAAGATGAGAATTTAAAGGTAGACTCTATAGGGCAAATGGTTAAGAACATATACTTGGGAGTCAGTTGATCTGGGTTCAAATTCTAGCTGTGCTACTTTCTACCTATGCTGTATTGGACAAATGATACTGTGTATCTGTTTCTTCAACCGTAAGTTGGGTATATTAATATCCTTACCTCAAAAGGTCATGATGATTAAGTGAGTTAATGCATGTAAAATGCCTTCTGTGCCGGGCAGTCAGAAACCACTCAATAAATATTGATTATTCTCACCAAAGATGTGCTTCCTGACCTCAAAAGCCTGTCAGCCTAATATAAAGACAGTGTGACAAATGCCAATCCTGCCTCAGGACATCTTGCACTTGCTGATCCTTCTGTCTGGAACATGCTTCACTTGGATTCTTTTGTGGCTTCCACTCTCCCCTCTGTTGGGCCTGAAATGCTAACATCTCAGTGAAGAGTTTTCCTTCACAACCCTATTTAACAATGACCATCATCCCTCTTTTTGGCACCCTATATTTTCATTTCTTGCCAAATTTTTCATCTTATTGCCATATAACAAAGCATTACTTTTCTTATTTATGCTGTTTATTCTCTGTCTCCCCCCGCAGTCAAATGAAAGTTCCAAAAGGTCAAGGATTTTGGTCTTGTTTGTCACCGGTTTATTAGTGCTTAAAATTATGTGTGGCTTGTATTAGGTGTGCAGGAAGTATTTGTTGAAAGAATGAGTGAAGGACCATTCATGGGAGCCTAGAGGAGGGCATGTCCAGCTCCGCCTATGGGGATCAGGGGGCTTCACAGAGAGGCAATTGTTAGTGTTGAGTCTTAGAACAGCAGTTCTCAATTTTTCATCCATAAAGACACACATGGAGAGTTATATTCCTATGATTGATATCTGATTCACAGTTTCTAAGATACTGCCATATTCGTACTCGTTTCTCTACAGTCAAGAAAGCCAATTAGAATTCAAGTCAGAGAGTGACACTATTCTGGAGATAAGGTCAAATCCACACTAATATTTATTTTAAAAGATAAACTACTTGCATACTTTATACAGTGATAATTTTTTAATAATAAAGATGTTGTGACTCATCTTCCCACTGGGATATTGAGAAATGTATTTGAGGATGGGTAGGAGTTTTCCAGGCAGACAACCAGTGTGACAGTGTTTGAGATAGAAGAAATAGCATGAGTGAAGGCACAGTGTGATTGTGGAACCACAAATAATCTGGTATGACTAAAGAGAGATTCCTGGGAGAGAAGAAGTGAGAGATGAGGCTGCCAAGGATCAAATTACGAAGAGTCTCATTTGCTAAACTAAAGGAATTTTATCTAGAAGACAGAGGGAGATATTGCCTAGTTTAAGTGGGGTTGTGTTGTATTTCTAAACTTTTATTTAATTATTTTTATAACTTAATTTAAAAAACTGAATAAATTCACATGGCACAATATTCAAAAGAGCATATACAGCAAAAAAGTCTTCCTTCTTGGGGACAATCGATATTTCTAGTATTTAACGTGTGTTTCTAGAGATATTATATGTATAGATAAGAAAATAATTTATTTCCTATTTTTATCCAAATGACAGCAAAATTACCTATTGGAATACCAATATGCTTAACATTGCCCTTCTTAGAAGGACATTCAGTGAAGAAATGCTTGCATGACCAACTAAGATGATGATACCTGGTTTTGTACTTGAGAGATTATAGACCCAGAGCACATTCTCCAAGTTAGGGGTTAGGAGATAGACTGAAGGTTAGACATGCCAAACCCATGGACATTCCAATGACATGACCAAGGGTCATTCCAGGGACATTCCCATAGAGGTCTTGAGGTCAGGAGGAATGCCTGGATTGAAAAGGTAGATTTGCAGGTCATTAGTGAATAGATGGTGGTTAAAGCCACATAAATGGATGCAGCTTCCCAGGGAAAGGGTCTATATTGAGAAGAGAAGAAGTTCTAGAAAAGGACTTAGGTTTAATTAGACATAAAGAGAGGTGCTTTGGGAACCAGGGGAGTATAGTCTTTTCTAAATTGTTGTAGTAGTCAGCGTTCAAATCTGGTTAATATAAGGAGGAAAAAAGGTTATTAAAAGAATGTTAGGAACTCACAGAGCTTTTGGAAAGACCAGGAAAACATTTGGAGGCTACGTGGCCAGGAACAATGCCCCAAATCATGTTGTAGAATGAGTAACAGGAGTATACCACTGCTGCTGCTACTGGACATGGACCTGTAACATACACAGCTGATAAAACCATCAGGTGACATTGAATACCACTTCCAGAACCATGACCCACTGCCTCTGGGAACTAGCAGTACTGCCATGCTCTAGCCAAAAGGGTCTTGCATAGTTCCTCCATTAGGTACTATTCAGTTACTGGAGTGGGTGCCTCTGATGGGCCAATTCTAGATCATGTGCTCATACTGTAGTTGCATGGAAAAGCAGGTATTCTGGCATGCTCAGCTTGTGTGGTAGGAGACAGGCTGCACCTTGTAAGGTGGTGATTCCTCAAACACAGGAAGACAGTTGAGACACTATGTGGCCATGCAGAATGTCAAATGTTCATTACAAGTGTCAAGTGCTGAAGGTACAACAATTAGAAAGTCATTGGTAACCCTTGGGAAGGTAGATTCTGAGAAGCAGTGGGAGTGAACATCTGATTGCGATGGATGGAAAAATGAGTGGGAAATGAGAAATTGAGCCGTTGTGTGTTGATTATAGTTTTAGGAAGGAATATTAGGAAGTTTGGCAGGGCAAATGTGGCAGGAGGGCAGGGAGCAAGGTTGTTAGAGTGGTGGGAGGAGAGTATTCTAAGTGATGTAATTAACAGAGTCTAGTATGATACAAAAGGAAGTGGAATCTGCAGAGTTGATAGCTGGAAATATAAAAAGAGATGAGGAATAGAGATATCAAAGAGAAGCCAAAAATTAGGTAGGATGGGGATAAGGGAAAAAGAGTGGGAGGAATGGAAAGTTGCACTCATCATGTAGAATGCTAGTGTGTAAGATTTCAGAGTTGGAGTGGTTTCCAGTGATGATGTGGAGTAAAGGTAAAGATCATTGGCAATGAGGAGGTCAAAGAATAGAGTGTTGAATGATTTTTCCTCATGGACATTAAAGTTTCCCATGCTGACAGCAGGAGATTGGCTGGGAAGCCAGGATAAAAGATTCAGGGGCTGTAAGGGAGGGGCCAAGAAATTGGTATGCAAGATAATTAATGAAAATACTAAGTCTAATTTCTGGCATATTTGTAAGCATTAAACAGATGTTACCCATTCATAATTAGATAGCAGTAAAGAGGGTGTGGTATTGCTCAATGGCATGAATGTTAAGGGAGAGGAGAATTTTGGGTTTTGAGTGCCAAATAGCACTTCTTTGGAAGATGCAAGTGTGGAGCTTGAAAAGTCTCTACTATTAACTCCAGGATGTAAGGGAGAAGAGGGAAAAAGCAGGGTGCTGGCGGAAAGCCAGGTTTCAACTAAATCAAGAAGGTGGTGAGAACAACCTATGAAGATGTTGAGGCTGGGAATTTCTCTACACATGAAGATGGGTTCCAGAGGTCTCAGAGGGAAGCATCGAAAAGGAGGTCTTTAGCTGGAGAAGGATGCAGGGAAAGAGTAGTGATGAGTAATACGGGGTTGAAAGCAATCAGGAAACTGTAAAAAGAGGTTACCTGCAGAATTTGCTATGGATGCGATTGTGTCTCCATACAGACCTGGAAGCCTGTCAGAACTATCTATCAACCTGAAAGACTGAGTGGTTCTTTTCAGCAACACATTGTCATCAGTCTGTGACTGTTATTTCCCTGTCTATGGCAGAAAAAATAAAATCGAGCAGAGAATTGGTTAACCTGGCTAGATGAGAAGACAATGTAAAGCCCAATTTAAAGGAATGCTTTATTTAGGCCAAGTGAATGGCTAAAATTTGATAGCTTGCACACAGATGAATCTATTAATTGCTAAATGTCCATTTCAATTGAATTGCATCAGTATAACTACAACAGAGTTTACTGAGATTTACCAACGCATTCTCTCCGGTCGTAGATGTTGGCCTTCAGGGATAAAGCTCACTAAAATAGGTTCTCACTGTCTCTTCATCCATATTGATCCAACTTGAAATTCTTGATTGTTCATAATTGCAAGTTTGTGTTAAAGAACTCTATGGAATTATTTGAAATGTGAGGTAGGTTTTCTTTTAACATTATTTTTAATTGGCACATAACCGTTCATTTTTATGGGGTACAGTGTGATTTTCAATACATGTAATATAATGTGTACTGGTCAAATCAGTGTATTTAGCATATCTGTCACCTCAAACATTTATCACTTCTTTGTGCTAGGAACTCTTTTAGCTATTTAAAAACATATAACAACTTATTAATTGTAGTCACCCTGCAGTGCTATAGGGTACTAGAATTTATTGCTCCTCTCAAGTTGTAATTTTGTATCCAATAACCGAACTCTCCCTATTCCCTCTCCCCTTCTCAGTCTCTAGTAACCGTTATTTTTGCTCTCTACTTCTATGAGAAACCTTTTTATCTTCCATATATGAGTGTGAACATGTAATATTTATCTTTTCATGCCTGGTTCATTTCATTTAACATGATGTGTTCCAGGCTCATCCATTTGTCATCCTGCAAATGGCAGGATTTTATTTTTTTTTTTATGGCTGAATACTATTCGTGTGTGTGTGTGTGTGTGTGTGTGTGTGTGTGTGTGTGTGTGTGACATTTTCTTTGCCCATTTATCTGTTGATGACACTAAGGTAAATTCCATATCTTAGCTATTGTGAACAGTGCTATAGTAAACATGAGTGCAGCTATCTCTTTGACATACTGATTCCCTTTCTTTTGGGCATAACCCAGCATTGGGATTGCTGGATCATATGATGGTTCTATTTTTAGTTTTCTGAAGAACTTCCTTACTGTTGTCTACAGTGACTGAACCAATTTATATTGCTTGTATATATACAAGCAATATATATTATTTATAACCAATTTATATTATCTTGTACACCAATAGTGTACAAGAGTTCCTTTTTCGTCTCATCCTCACTAGCAATTGTTATTTTTTATCTTTTTGATAGTAGCCATTCTAACTGCAACGAGATGGTATGTCATTGTGGTTTTGACTTGCATTTCCTTAATGATTAATGATGTTGGGCATTTTTTCATATACCTTTCAGATCATCTGCCAATTTTTTTTTTTTGAGACGGAGTCTTGCTCTGTCACCCAGGCTGGAGTGCAGTGGCACGCTTTCGGCTCACTGCAACCTCCGCCTCCTGGTTTCAAGCGATTCTTCTGCCTCAGCCTCCCAAGTAGCTGGGACTACAGGCGCAAGCCACCATGCCCAGCTAATTTTTGTATTTTTGGTATCATATTGGCCAGGCTGGTCTGGAACTCCTGACCTCATGATCTGCCCACCTTGGCCCCACAAAGTGCTGGAATTACAGACGTGAGCCACCGCGCCCAGCCCATCTGCCAATTCTTAATCAGATTATTTTAAATGTTTTGCTGTTGAGTTCCTTGTATATTCTAGATATTACTTAAGGATATTCATCCTTGTTGGATGGAGAGTTTACAAATCCATTCTTTAGGTTGTCTCTTCACTCTATGGATTGTTTCCTTTGCTTTACAGAAGCTTTGCAGTTTTATATAATCCCATTTGTCTATTCTGGCTTTTGCTACCTGTACTTTTGAGGAGTTACCCATAAAATCTTTTCCCAGACTAATGTCCTGAAGCATTTTCCCTATGTTTTCTTACAGTAATTTCATAATTTCTAGTCTTAGATGTAAGTCTTTAATCCATTTCGTGTTGATTTTTGCATATAGTGAGAGATAGGAGTCTAGTTTCATCCTTCTGTATATGGATATCCAGTTTCCCCAACATCATTTATTGAAGATACTGTCCTTTCCCCAATGTATGTCCTTGGGACCTTTTTTGAAAATAAATTGGGTGTAAATACATGGGTTTATTTGTGGGTTCTTTATTCTATCCATTGGTCTATGTGTCTGTCTTAATGCCAGTACTATGCTGTTTTGGTTACTATAGCTTTGTAGTAAATTTTGAAGTCAGATAGTGTGATGGTTCCTGTTTATAATAGTCTCTAATGATCCTTTCTATTTCTGTGTTATCCATTGTAATGTCTCCTTTTTCATTTCTGATTTTATTTACTTGGGTCTTATCTCTTTTTCCTAGTTGGTTTAGCTAATGGTTTTGTTGATTTTGTTTATCTTTTGAAAAAACCAACTTTTCATTTCATTCATTTTTTGTATGTTTTTAGTCTCTATTTCATTTATTTTTGTTCTGATTTTTTTTTTAAATTTTATTATTATTATACTTTAAGTTTTAGGGTACATGTTCACAATGTGCAGGTTAGTTACATATGTATACATGTGCCATGCTGGTGTGCTGCACCCATTAACTCATCATTTAGCATTAGATATATCTCCGAAAGCTATCCCTCCCCGCTCCCCCCACCCCACAACAGTCCCCAGAGTTTGATGTTCCCCTTGCTGTGTCCATGTGTTCTCATTGTTCAATTCCCACCTATGAGTGAGAATATGTGGTGTTTGGTTTTTTGTTCTTGCGATAGTTTACTGAGAATGATGATTTCCAATTTCATCCATGTCCCTACAAAGGACATGAACTCATCCTTTTTTATGGCTGCATAGTATTCCATGGTGTATATGTGCCACATTTTCTTAATCCAGTCTATCATTGTTGGACATTTGGATTGGTTCCAAGTCTTTGCTATCCTGGACAATGATCCTTTTGCTGATAACAGAAATATGTATTCTGCAGCTGTTGGATGAAATGTGGGTAAATGTCTATGACGTCTGTAGTACAGTTTAAATCTGATGTTTCTTTGTTGATTTTCTGTCTAAGTGATCTAAAATTAAATATAATGCTGAGAGTGGGATGTTGGAGTCACCAACTAGTATTTTATTGGGGTCTATCTTTTCCTTTAGATCTAATAATATTTGCTTTATATATCTGAGAGCTCCAGTGTTGGGTTCATATATATTTACAGTTATTATATTGTCTTGCTAAATTGATTCTTTGCTCATTATATAATGAACTTCTTGGTCTCTTTTTACAGTTTTTGGCTTAAAGTTTATTTTATCTGACATAAGTGTGCTACTCCTGCTTGGTTTTGGTTTCTGTTTGCATGGAATATTTTTTTTCCATTCCTTCTTTTTCAGTCTGTGTGTTTTTACAGGTGAAGTGAGTTTCTTTTAGGTAGCATGTAGTTGGGTCTTGGTTTTTTATTCATTCATCCAATGTGTATCTTTTAATTGGGGAATATAATACATTTACATTAAAGGTTATTATTGATAGGTCAGTACTTACTCCTGTCATTTTGTTTGTTGTTTTCTGGTGATTTGGATATTCTTTGTTTCCTCTTTTAGTGTTTATCTTTTTGGTTTGGTGGTTTTCTGTAGTGACAAGGTTTAATTTCTTTTTCATTCTCATTTGTATATCTGCCCAGCCAGTGAGGTTTATACTTTCATATGTTTTTGTGGTAGTAGTTATCATCCTTTCATTTCTAGATATTGGACTCTGTTAAGCATTTCTCATAAGAAAGAGCAGTTCCCTCATATGTGACTTGAAGCTTTTTCTCTTGCTGTTTTTAGAATTCTATCTTTGACTTCTAACAGTTTGACTATAATGTGCCTCATAGATAACCCTTATTAGGTTGAATCTATTTGGGGACCTTCAAACTTCCTGGATCTGGGTGGATGTCCATATCTCTCCCAAGATATGGGAAGTTTCCAGCTATTATTTCATTACGTGGGTTTTCTGTTCCTTTTACTGTCTTTTCACCTTCTTGAATTTACATAATGTAAAAATTTATTAACTTAATGGTGTCCCATAGACTTTCTTCATTATTTTTTATTACTTTGTCTTCTGGGTTACTTCAAGAGGCTTGTCTCAAGTTCAGAAATTGTTTCTTCTCCTTGAACTAGTCTGTTGTTGACACCCTGGATTGTTTTTTTTTTTATTTCGTTCACTGACTTCACCTCCAAGATTTCTGTTTTTTTCTCTTTTATGATATCTATCTCTTTGTTGAATTTCTCATTTAGGTCATGAGTTGTTTTTCTGATTTTTGCTGAATTGTATATCTGTATTCTTTTATATCTCGCTGAGTTTATTTTTATTTTTAAATTAAATTAAATTTAATTTTATTAGGTTTCTGGGGAACAGTTGTTGTTTGGTTACATGAAGTTATTTAGTGGTGATTTCTGAGATTTTGATGCACCCATCACCAGAGCAGTGGACACTGTACCCAATGTATAGTCTTTTATCCCTTACCACCCTCACCCTTTCCCCCAAGTCCCCAAAGTCCAATGTATCATTCTTAGGCCTTTGCGTCCTCATAGTTTAGCTCCCACATGTGAGTGAGAACATACAATGTTTGTTTGTCCATTCTTGAGTAACTTCATTTAGAATAATAGTCTCCAATTCCATCCAGGTTGCTGTGAATGCCAGTATTTTATTCTTTTTTATAGCTGAGTAGTATTCCACGGTATATATATTCACCACATTTTCTTTATCCACTTGTTGATTGACGCACATTTGGGCTGGTTCCATATTTTTGCAATTGCAAATTGTGCTGCAATAAATATGTGTGTGCAAGTATCTTTTTCGTATAATGACTTCTTTTCCTCTGGGTAGATACCTAGTAGTGGGATTGCTGGATCAAATGGTAGATCTACTTTTAGTTCTTTAAGAAGTCTCCACACTGTTTTCCATACTGGTTGTACTAGTTTACAGTCTCACCAACAGTGTAAAAGTGTTCCCTTTTCACTGTACCCCTGCCAATATCTATTATTTTTGACTTTTTGATTATGGCCATTCTTGTAGGAGTGAAGTACACATTGTGGTTTCCCTGATAATTAGTAATGTTTAGCATTTTTCCATATGCTTGTTGGCCATTTGTATATTTTCTTTTGAGAATTGTCTATTCATGTCCTTAGCCCACTTTTTGATGGGATTGTTTGTTTTTTCTTGCTGATTTGAGTTCTTTGTTGATTCTGGATATTAGTCCTCTGTCAGATGTATAGATTGTGAAGATTTTCTCCCACTCTGTGGGTTGTCTATTAACTCTGCTGCTTATTTCTTTTGCTGTGCAGAAGCTTTTTAGTTTAATTAAGTCCCACCTATTTATCTTTGTTTTTATTGCATTTGCTTTTGGGTTCTTGGTCATGAAGTCTTTGCCTAAGTCAATGTCTAGAAGGGTTTTTTCCAATGTTATCTTCTAGACTCTTTATGGTTTTGGGTCTTAGATTTAAGTCTTTAATCCATCTTGAGTTGATTTTTGTATAAGGTGAGAGATGAGGATTCTGTTTTATTCTTCTACATGTGGCTTGCCAGTTATCCCAGCACCATTTGTTGAATCAGTGTCTTTTCCCCACTTTATTTTTTGTTTGCTATGTCAAAAATCAGTTGGCTGTAAGTATTTGGGTTTATTTCTGGGTTCCTTATTCTATTCCATTGGTCTATGTGCTTATTTTTATACCAGTACTATGCTGTTTTGGTGACGATGGCCTTATAATATAGTTTGCAGTTAGGTAATTAATCTGATGCCTCCAGATTTGTTCTTTTTGCTTAGTCTTGCTTTGGCTATGTGGGCTCTCTCTTGATTCCATAAGAATTTTAGGATTGTTTTTTCTAGTTCTGTGAAGAATGATGGTGGTATTTTGATGGGAATTGCATTGACTTTGTAGATTGTTTTTGACAGCGTGGTCATTTTCATGATATTGGTTCTACCCATCCATGAGCATGGGCTGTGTTTCCATTTGTTTGTGTGGTCTATGATTTCTTTCAGCAGTGTTTTGTAGTTTTCATTGTAGAGGACTTTCACCTCCTTGGTTAGGTATATTCCTATGTATTTTACTTTATTTTTTTGCAGCTATTGTGAAAGGGATTCAGTTCTTGATTTAATTCTCAGCTTGGTTGCTGTTGGTGAATAAAAGAGCTACTGATTTGTGTACATTAATTTTGTATCTGGAAACTTTGCTGAATTCTTTTATCAGTTCTAGGAGCTTTTTGGATGAGTCTTTAGGGTTTTCTAGGTAAACAATTATATCATCAGCAAACAGTGACAGTTTGAGTCCCTCTGTATTGATTCGGATGCCCTTGATTTCTCTCTTGTCTGATTGCTGTGGCTAGGACTTCCAGTACTGTGTTGAATAGAAGTGGCGAAAGTGGGCAACCTTGTCTTGTTCCAGTTCTCATGAGGGAATGCGTTCAACTTTTCCCTGTTCTGTGTGATGTTGGCTGTGGGTTTGTCATAGATGGCTTTTATTACCTTAAGGTGTGTTCCTTCTCTGCAGATTTTGCTGAGAGTTTTAATCATAAAGCGATGCTGAATTTTGTCAGATGCTTTTTCTGTGTCTATTGAGATAATCATGTGATTTTTGTTTTTAATTCTGTTTATGTGGTGTATCACATTTATTGACTTGTGTATGTTAAACCATCCCTGCATCCCTGGTATGAAACCCACTTGATCATGGTGGTTTATCTTTTTAATATGCTGTTGGATTCAGTTTGCTAGTATTTTGTTAAGGATTTTTTAATCTATGTTCATCAGGGATATTGGCCTGTAGTTTTCTTTTTTGGTCATGTCCTTCCCTGATTTTGGTAGTAGGGTTATACTGGCTTCACAGAATGATTTACGGAGGATTCCCTCTTTCTCTGTCTTTTGGAATGGTGTCAGTAGATTGATACCAATTCTTCTCTGAATATCTGATAGAATTCAACTGTGGATCCATCTGGCCCTTGACTTTTTCTTGTCAGAAATTTTTAAATTATTTCAATCTCGCTACTTGTTATTGATCTCTTCAGAGATTCTGTATCTTCCTGGTTAAATCTAGGAGGGTTGCATATTTCCAGGAATTTATTCATCTCCTCTAGGTGTTCTAGTTTATGCACATAAAGGTTTTCATTGTAGCCTTGAATAATCTTTTGTATTTCTGTGGCATTAGTTGTAGTATCTCTCGTTTCGTTTGTAATTGAGTTTATTTGGATCTTTTCTTTTTTGGTTAATCTTGTTAATGGTCTATCAATTTTATCTATCTTTTCAAAGAACCATCTTTTCTTTTCATCTTTTTTCTTTTGTTTCATTTAGTTCTGCTCTATCTTTGTTATTTCTTTTCTTCTGCTGGGTTTGGGTTTGAATTGTTCTTGTTTATGCAGTTCTGTAAGGTGTCTATTTGTGCTCTTTCAGACTTTTTGACGTAGACACTTAAGGCTATGAACTTTCCTCTTAACACTGCTTTTGCTGTATTCCAGAGGTTTTGATAGGTTGTTTCACTATTGTTGTTTGGTTCAAAGAATTTTTAAATTTCCTTCTGGATTTCATTGTTGACCCAATGATCATTCTGGAGTAGGTTATTTAATTTCCATGTATTTGGATTGTTTTGAGGGTTCCTTTTGGAGTCCATTTCCAGTTTTATTCCACTGTGGTTTAAGAGAGTACTTTATGTAATTTAGATTTTCTTAATTTTACTGAGGCCTGTTTTGTGGCCTATCATATGGTCTATCTTGGAGAATGTTCCATGTGCTGATGTTCCGTGTGCTGAATGTGTATTCTGCAGTTGTTGAGTAGAATATTCTGTAAATATCTGTTAAGTTTATTTGTGGTAGCATATAGTTTAAGTTTGTTTCTTTGTTGACTTTCTGTCTTGATGACCTATCTAGTGTTGTCTGTGGAGTATTAAAGTCCCCCACTATTATTGTGTTGCCATCTATCTCATTTCTTAGGTCTAGTAGTAATTGTTTTATAAATTTGGGAGATCCAGTTTTAGGTGCATATATATTTAGAATTGTCATATTTTCCTGTTGGACAAGGCCTTTTATCATTATGTGGTGCCCCCTTTGTCTTTTTTTAGCTGCTGTTTCTTTAAAGTTTGTTTTGTCTGATATAAGAATAGCCACTCCTGCTCATTTTTGTTGTCCATTTTCATAGAATATCTTTTTCCACCCCTTTACCTTAAGTTTATGTGAGGCCCTGTGTGTTAGGTGAGTCTCCTGAAGACATCAGAAACTTGGTTGGTGAATTCTTATCCATTCTGCCATTCTATATATTTTAAGTGGAGCCTTTAGGCCATTTACATTCAATGTTAGTATTGATATTTGAGGTATTATTCTATTCATCATGTATTTGTTGCCTGAATATCTTTTTTTTCATTGTGTTACTGTTATATATGTCCTGTGAGATTTATGCTTTAAGGAGGTTCCATTTTGGTGTACTTCAAGGATTTGTTTCAAGATTTAGAGGTCCTTTTAGCAGTTCTTGTAGTGATGGCTTGGTTGTGGTGAATTCTCTCAGCATTTGTTTGTCTGGAAAAGATTGCATCTTTCCTTCATTTATGAAGTTTGGTTTTGCTGGATACAAAATTTTGGGCTGCTAATTGTTTTGTTTAAGGAGGCTAAAAATAGGACCCTAGTTCATTCTAGCTTGTAGGGTTTCTGCTGAGAAATCTGCTGTTAATCTGATAGATTTTCCTTTATAGGTTACCTGATGCTTTTGCCTCACAGGTCTTAAGATTCTTTCCTTTGTCTTGGCTTTAGATGACTGTGTGCCTAGACGATGACCTTTTCCCAATGACTCCTCTTGGTGTTTTTTGAGCTTCTTTTATTTGGATGTCTAGATCTCTAGCAAGGCTGGGGAAGTTTTTCTTGATTATTCCCTCAAATATGTTTTCCAAACTTCCAGATTTATCTTCTTCCCCAGGAATACCAATTATTCTTAGGTTTGGATGTTTAACATAAACCCAAATTTCTTGGAGGCTTTGTTCATTTTTTAAAATTCTTTTTTCTTTGTTTTTGTTGGATTGGGTTAATTTGAAAGCCTTGTCTTCAAGCTCTGAAGTTCTTTCTCCTGCTTGTTCAATTCTGTCCTGAGACTTTCCAGTGCATTTTGCATTTCTCTAAGTGTGTCTTTCATTTCCAGAAGTTGTGATTGTTTTTTAATTTATGCTATCTATTTCACTGAAGAATTCTCCCTTCATATCTTGTATCATGTTTTTGATTTCTTTAAGTTGGACTTCACCTTTCTCTGGTGCCTTCTTGATTAGCTTAATAATCAACCTCCCGAATTCTTTTTCTGGCGTTTCATAGGTTTTGTCTCGGTTTGGATCCGTTGCTGGTGAGCTGGTATGATCTTTTGCGGGGGTTAAAGAAGCTTGTTTTGTCATATTACCAGAATTGTTTTTCTGGTTCCTTCTCATTTGGGTTTACTATATCAGAGGGAAGTTCTGGGATTCAAGGGCTATTGTTCAGATTCTTTTGTCCCACAGGGTGCTCCCTTGATAGAGTGTTCTCCCCCTTCCCCTAGGAATGGAGCTTCCTGAGAGCCAAACTGCAGGGATTGTTTTTGCTCTTCTGGGTCTGGCCACCCAGTGGAGCTACGAGGCTCCGGATCATACTGGGGAGTGTCGGCAAAGAGTCCTGTGATGTGATCCATCTTCAGGTCTTGCAGCCATGGATACCAGTGCCTGCTCCAGTGGAGGTAGCAGGGGAGTGGAGTGGACTCGGAAGGTCCTTGGTTTTGTGTGTGTGTGTGTGTGTGTGTTTAGATGGAGTTTTGCTCTTGTTGTCCAGGCTGGAGGGCAATGGTGCTGCCATCTTGGCTCACTGCAACCTCCACCTCCTGGATTCAAGTGATTCTCCTGCCTCAGCCTCCTGAGTAGCCAGCATTACAGGCACCTGCCACCATGACTGGCTAATATTTTGTATTTTTAGTAGAGATGGGGTTTCACCATGTTGGCCAGGCTGGTCTCGAACTCCTGACCTCAGGTGATCCGCCCACCTCGGCCTCCCAAAGTGTTGGGATTACAGGTGTGAGGTTGTGTTTTCATTGAGTGTGCTGTTTTTGTGTTGGTTGGCCTCCAGCCAGGAGATGGCACTTTCAAGAGTGCATCAGCTGTGGTCCTTTAGGGAGGATAGAAACTTGCACTAGGGACACCTGGTTAAGTATTCAGGTTTCTCAGGTGGTGGGCAGTGCAATAGGCTCCCAAGAGATTATGACCTTTGGTTACCAGGGCTGGTAGAGAAAGACCACCAGCTTGGGACAGGGATAGGCATGTCTGAGTTCAGTCTTTCTTTGTGTGGGGCTTGCTGCAGTTGCTGTGGGAGTTGGGAGTGTGGTTCCCAGTCCAGTGGAGTTATATTCCCAGTGGGGATGATGGCTGCCTGTGCTGAGTCATACAGGTCACCAGGGAAGTAGGGGAAAGCTGGCAGTCACAGGCTTCACCCTGCTCCCACGCAGCCCTCTGTCCTAAAGTCTGGTCTCACTCTCACCATGTCCCCCGCAACAGCACCGAGTCTATTTCCAGGCAGCAGGTGACCAGGGCTAAGAACCTGCCTGAGGCCGTGAGCCTCCCTACTGAGAAAGCAAGCCGACTCACAGGTTTTTGGCATATCAAGGAGCCTGTAGCAGTGATCAAGTTCCTTCAAAGGGTCTGTGGATTCTCTTGGCTTTCCTGATATATTCCTGCAGTAGTTCTTGGAGCAAAAGTTCACAGCATGAGTCTCCACATGCTGCTCTGTCCATCCAAGTGGGAGCTGCAAGCTAGTCCTGCCTCCTATCTGCCATCTTAATTCCAGTCAATCCTCACTGAGTTTCTTTAAGAGCGTTGTTTTGAATTCCTTTTTAGACATTTTATAGATTTCCTTTACTTTTGGGTCTGTTACTGGAGAATTATTGTGTTCCTTTAGAGGTGTCATGCATTCTTGCTTTTTCATGTTTCCTTTGTTCCTACATTGATATCTGTGCATCTGGTAGAATTGTTACCTCTTTCAGTTTTATGGAGTGGCTTTTGTAGGGAAAGACTCTTTTCTGTAAGTATGTCCTATAGCATCAGTTGGGTAGGGTACTTTGGCTTTAATCTGGGTGAGTGCAGGAGTGTAGTCTCCAAATTTTTTTTTTTTTTTTGCTATAGTCAATGTCATTGGTATCTGTGAGTGCCTCAGTGGCCTAGACTACAGTTGTTAGTGGAAGCAGTGATGTGGATTTTCTGGGGGTTGGGGCTGCCTGACAGGCTGGTTCTCAACCCTGGAATTGCACATCACATACAGTGGTTCCACTGGTCATGGTGACAGCATTGCTGGTGGTGATATGTGCCTGGTAGGCCAGTCCCTGGTTCCACAGTGTGCAGAAGCTCTGACAGCCAAGGAATGAGGTATGTTTTCTGATGCAAGAAGTCTCATGTTTTTAGTGTACTAAAATAAAATAAAAATGTTTGGAGTATTCTTTTTTATTTATCTCATCTACTGAACTCAGGCAAGTAAGGAAAAAAAATCTCAAATTAATAGCTTAAAATGCATTAGACAACTAGAATTCCAGCTGCTAATGCATTCAAAGAGAACTTACACAACAACCATGTAATAGAGTATCAATGTACACATAGATAAATAACACAATGAAAAAATGCTTGTTTTTTATTGTTTCAGAGGCTCTTTATAACAAGAAAGAATTTTATAATAATTCAAACTTCAATTTAGTTTAGAAAATATTCAAGACCCTTTCTGCAAAGGCACTGTGCTCTAGACCTTGTGTGGGTGTATTCATTCCCTAGGGCTGATGTAGCATGTTACTACAAACTAGGTGGCTTAATATGACAGAAATTTATTCTCTCACAGTTCTGGAGGTTAGAAGTCTAAAATCAAGGTGTTGGCAGGGCCATGGAGAGAATCTATTGCATGCCTTTCTCTTAGCCTCTAGTGATGCTGGCAATTTTTGGCATTCCTTAACTTGAAGATACATCCCTCTAATCTGTATTTGTATCACTCCAGTCCCTGTATCTGCATCTGTTACATAATATTTTCCATCTGTATCCATCTCTTCTCTTCTTATAAGGACACCAGTAATACTGGATTAAAGATCTACCCTATTCCAGTATGACCTCATCTTAACTAACTATACCTGCAATTATTCTATTTCCAAATGAGGTCACATTCTGAGGTTCTAGGAAGGACATGGATTTTTGTGGGGACATTGTTCAACACAATACATGTTGAATATATGGGGCTTCTAAAATGAATAACAAGTGGCCTCTGCCTTCAGAAAGGTATAGTTCCTGATGTAGTTGGGGAAATAGGTGCAGGAAATTAATGCAAGGCAATGTGTTCAAGTGATAATGGATATAGAATACTTATGGACACATGGAGGAGTTGGTGCTTGGTTGGAGTTGGTGACAAGCCTGAAGAATCACTAGTATGCAAAACAGGAATGCTGAGCATTCTGGACTGAAGGACCAGTCTGAGCAGGCACAGTCGTGCAGTTGTGCCTCCACCATGTGGGATGCTTGCAACAATTTGAGTGTATGGCTAGAGGATAGCATAGCTTTTGGGTAGTAATTGCATGGATTGTGGTGGCCACTGAGGAAGGATGGAGAAAGGACAAAGTAAGAGGGAGGTAAGAAAGATGATGGGACCCCCAATGGCAGTTTATCTCTATGAATGACTGCCACAGAAGTCTGCTCTTCAGAGGCAGTAGGAGTGGGAGTGGTCGAGGAGAGGCTGGATGACCATTTCTTAAAGGTGGTCTAGAAGACATTGCTGAACTCAGAGGAATTGGCCTAGGTGAATTCTATGCTCCCTCTTAGCTCTCCAATTCTGCAATTATTAGGTAGAAATATATTTTCAGTTATCATGTCTTGTATCTCTCACTATTATTATGCTTTTGATTCTTCCTCCTTTTTCTCCCTATTCCATATTCCAGGTGGTGGAGATACAATAGTGAACAAGAAGAAAAAGACACTGTCGTTTTAATCTCTTCTCTATAGCATTAGCACAAAGAGTACATACTAGGTTCTACATAAATGTTGCTTTGAACTGAATACAAGTAAGGAAAAAATGGCAAGGCAGTTTTGCCCTGGGCAATAAGTTCTGCTTCAGAGTAGAACTGTTTGAAAGATGATTTCAGGGACCTCCTTATGAGGAGGTGGAGAGTAGGTGGCTGCTTATGTGGTGTTTGATTTCTGAGTCATCAAAAACACTCCTTTGCCTCCCAAAATATCTCCTCCATGCAGGCTATGGGTACTTTTAATTCCACTGTTGGAAGTTGGTTTCCCAAGGTTTTCTCCTCTGTTAGAATGTAAATGCCTATGAAGAGAGGATATCCATTTACCCTCATTAGTCTTTTGTACCTTAGTATAAGGGATTTTCTCAGCCCTTTTTACATAGTGGGTTTTTGAGAAAAACACAGGTAGGGAAAAAGAGACTCAGGGGAGGAATACTGGGCATGCCAAGAGTAAGGTTTGTTAAAAATGGTTTGGATGAGACTGACCCTGGAGATGTAGGCCCTTGGCCTACAAAAATCTATTCTTATTTTTGCATCTTGCCATTTGCTGGTATATATTGGACAAGAAATTATCATTTCTGTTGAACGTTTTATGGCTGCAAACTTGTCAGGTTTTTTTTTTTTTTTTTTTTTTTTTTTTTTTTTTTTTTGAGACGGAGTCTCGCTCTGTTGCCCAGGCTGGAGTGCAGTGGCACGATCTCAGCTCACCATGCAAGCTCTGCCTCCCAGGTTCACGCCATTCTCCTGCTTCAGCCTCCCAAGTAGCTGGGACCACAGGCGCCTGCCACCACGCCTGGCTAAGTTTTTTGTATTTTTAGTGGAGACAGGGTTTCACCATGTTAGCCAGGATGGTCTCGATCTCCTTACCTCGTGATCTGCCCGCCTCGGCCTCCCAAAGTGCTGGGATTACAGGCATGAGCCACCGCGCCTGGCCCGTCAGTTTTTTTTTTAAAGGGCAATAAATCTCACCTCTTCCATCCTCACCTCAACAAAAGTAATTTGTGTGGCAACCTGATGTATGGTCTATATTGACAAGGCTATGCTACGTATGGTTTATACGTGTTCACATGACAGAGGGGCTCCGTATTTGTCAGGGAAGGCAAATACTAGCTACTGTAACAAATGTTCCCCAAAGTTGCAGTGGCTTATTTCAGAGGTTTCTTTCTCATTCACATCACAATACAATTCAAATTGATTTTGGGGAAAGGGGTGTTCCACATAGTCCTTCCGGGACCCAGGCTCTTTTCATGCTATGGGTCCACCTTCAATGCGAGGCCTCACTGTCATGCTAGACTCACCTGGAAGATGTGCTGGGGAGGAGAAGCATGTAGAGAAAACACACTTATTATTAACTGCCGTGGCCTGGAAGTGACATATTTCACCTCACATTCCGTTGGCAAGAACTAGACCTCAGGAACCACCCAGATGGAAGAAGCTGCAAAATATAGTTTAACTGTGTATCCAGAAAGAGGAAAAGCCTTGGTGGATCTCTGGCATAGGTTCATCAAAAAGCTTGTGTACATTTTCCTTCTGTCTGTGACATAACTTGACCCTTGGAGTGTTGTTATTAAAGGGATAGTGGACAAGAGAGAATAGCAGTGACATTGAAACTGTTAGTGTTTAAAATAATGAAAAGTAATTCAATCTACTTGGTGAAGGACATCATCTTTTCTTGGATTTTTGCTATATAAGGGAGGACAAAGTCTTGATTCGAAGAAATGTCTGTTTTATTTGCTTGTTTATTTGCTTTGTAATGGAAGTAGAAAAAAGCTAACGGAAACTTCCCTTGCATACATCTTGGAATCACCTTAGAACACCTTAGGTTTGGGGTTTTAAATGATGTGGCTTCTGCAATATGTTTCAGCTATCTTTGGTGATAAGAGTATGTTAGTGTATGGAGAAGACTTAGAGATCCTCAATCCACCTCTCATTGTCTAGAGAAGGGAACCAAGGGGTAACTGAATTATCCAAATTCACAGCAAGTTAGTGGTTTATGTTTGTCTCAGACCCCATTTTCCAGGTTTGTACTCGAGTGTTTTTTTCACTACCACAATGCTGTTCCCTAGATAACTACTATTTGGAGAATAGACCTGGCCTGGTGTGATCAGTGGATGCCAGCCAGAAGGGAAGAGGCTTGACCAGGTGAAATCAGAAGCTTCCCTCTAGCTTTTAGGTTCCTTGACTGATTGTATTTAAGTAGGTGGTGTCTGATGATATAATCCCTGGCCTGACAGAAGTGATATGGCCTTCTAAGAATTTGTAATGTTTCTGAGGAACCAGAGTCTCATTTCTTTATTCTTCTCAGCTATTTCTTAATTTATTTTTAGCTTTTTAAAAACTGTATTTGCTTTTAAATTTATAAACTTATTTTTTTAATTATAAAAGTAATATAGAAATTAAGTAAATATAACAAAAATATTTACAAAATATAAAATTGCCTGTAATTTCATAACTTGCTAATGCAGCAATAACCTCTATTAATATTTTGGTGTATTTCCCAACCATTTTCAGCACATATATGTTTGCATACTTATGCACAATATAATTTGGATGAAATGTTATGCAATATGAAATAAATGTTATGCAACCCTTAAAATTTTTCATATTATGCAATATCTCATTTCCATGAGATGAAATATTATGCAACCCTTAAAATTTTTTAAAGTAAGTAATGATATGGAAAGATGCCCACAGGTATTTGTTTACTTATGTACAATATAATTCTAATTATATTTGTTTTGTGTGCTTGCTTATTTGCTTTTTAATGGAAGTAGAAAATGCTAATGGGAATTTCCATTCCATACATCTTGGAATAAAATTCTAATTTTACTTTTTTTAAGGGTTGCATAAAATTGCATCTCATGGAAATACACTATGCTTAAAATAATGGCCCAAGTGGGGCGGAGGGGACGAGAGTAGTATCTTTGGTTCTTTGGCCCTGACGCTGTGTTCCTCTTCTCCCAGGGCATCAGCAGCCTGTTCAGCTCTCTAAAAGTTGTCCGGCTGCTCCGTCTTGGGCGAGTGGCCCGTAAGCTGGACCACTACATTGAATATGGAGCTGCTGTGCTGGTCCTGCTGGTGTGTGTGTTTGGGCTGGCTGCACACTGGATGGCCTGCATCTGGTACAGCATTGGGGACTATGAGATCTTTGACGAGGACACCAAGACAATCCGCAACAACAGCTGGCTGTACCAACTAGCGATGGACATTGGCACCCCTTACCAGTTTAATGGGTCTGGCTCAGGGAAGTGGGAAGGTGGTCCCAGCAAGAATTCTGTCTACATCTCCTCGTTGTATTTCACAATGACCAGCCTCACCAGTGTGGGCTTTGGGAACATCGCCCCATCCACAGACATTGAGAAGATCTTTGCAGTGGCCATCATGATGATTGGCTGTAAGTATGACAGTGCTGGGGTGGGGTTGGCCATCTCTTCTGTTAGCTGGAAACAGGGAAATGGCTACAGTGCCAGCAGGATCAGGAGAATAATAACTTAAAACAAGGAAGAGTTTTTTTAAGACTAGGCTTACAGTTACCCTGATAATTAAAGCAGTATATGCTTACTGCAAAAAAATTTAGAAAATACAAAAGAGTGCAAAGTAGAAAGTAAAGACTATCCATAATTCTGCTTTTCAGAGATAACTACTAATACTGTTGGTGTCTTCTCTTACAGACTATTTTCTTTGCATATCTGAATACATATAGATTTTTATAAACTTAAAATGAGATCTTGCTGCATACGCACTTTAGTAAACTACTCATAGAACAGTGAATTATGGAAGTCTTTTCATGTCAATTTTTTTCTTTTTAATAAAAATTGTATATATTTAAAGTATGAAATGAGATTTTGATATAGTGAAATGATTATGACAGCAAAGCAAATTAACATATCCATTCCTTTACATCATTACCTTTTTTTTGGTGAAAGCACTTGAAATCTGCTCTCTCAGCAAATTTCCTGTAGGCATTACAGTATTATTAACTATAGCCGTCATGCTACATGTCCTACATGTCAATTTGAACATAGCTGTAGCTTGGCATATAGTCTAATGTAGTATGAGAAAAAGAATGTATGAAAAATGAATGCAAAACATCTCATTAATTGTATTTTATATTGATTATATATTGAAATGGTAATATTTCTGATGTATCGGTTAAGTAAAATATTCTCTTAGAATTAATTTAATCTGTTTCATTTTCCTTTTAAAAGTAGCTCCTAGGAAAAATTTAAATTTAATCATTTGGACGGTGCTGGTCTAGATAAACATTTTTGATGTCTTGCTTGATGGGAAATTTTCCAACTCAAAAACAAATCCACAGACACAGAGGGAAGAAAGGCCCTTGTTCAGCTGAGAAGTAATAGGTTATTGGAGTAACTTTATTGGACTGAAAAACAACCTTAGTTCTTGAGGAAGATACTTAGATTTGATTGATTTACCCACTGACTGTTGTATAGCTGTTCTATTGCTGAGTGTAGAAGCAACTTTTTTTGGCTGTAGACAACAATGAATTCCCTTCATTAAAGGGAGTCTTATGTAGGAAGGGACCTAACTGGGATGGAAAAAGCAAACAAGTTTGAGTGGATTGGACTCATTGTGAAACTGCCAAGTGCATGCTGTGGGCACTTCAATGACAAATTCAGATGTGAGAAGACGGTCCTCTGGTGAAATTTCAGTTTAGACAGGTCTGAGCACACATGAAGACTCTTGCGTTCTTGTTTCAGTAGGTAGAAACTGTTTTGCTTGATGTAGGGTGGAGTTGACAAATTGTTATACTGACCAGGGAAACCTGAGGCTTCAGCTTGCCTTGCTTTGTCCAACTGACCAGAGATTCAGCATCCCGCTTTGTGAGTGGATTTTGTTACCTCAAATTGTCACATTTGCTGCTTGGTACCTCCTTTTTTGCAACAGTCTCATCATGTCTGATGGAGTCCTTTCATAAAAGCCCTCTCTGCAGGCAGAGTTTTCCTGAGAGTATTTAAGGAATGTGTCTAAGGGGGTAATTGATTTGTGGGAAGTGTGTGCCTATGGAGCTTTGGGTTTGTTCCTTACTTTAAAATGTGTTTTAATAGAGATAATTGCCTGGCCATGGGAAGCAGTGTTAAGGATCTGTGGGTGGCTAATTGCTTCATCTTAATTAGAATTTGAGGTGCTTTCTCATGTCACAGAAAAGGATTTAAGATCTTTTCTCTTCTAGAACTGTTTCAGCCTTAACTGCACGTATTTCCTAGGCAGTGCTTACTTACAGCATTTTTGTGAGCCTTGGGGCACCCGATAAACAACCAGATGCACTGTGCTCAGGACATGATTTGATTTCCTTCTCTTAGAGGGAGGGGGAGATGAGCCACTTTGTCAGTCGAAATACCTCATTGTATCCATTACAGAAAATTTGCTAAGAGTGATCATTTAGAAAATGGGTCCCATTTTATGGACTCGCAAAAGGCTTTCAAATATGAGATTTCCCTGCAACTTCTTACCTAGAAGAAAAGAAAATAGTTATGGTGGCATATAATAAGGGTAAGTAGTTGGGGGTTTTTTTGTTTGTTTGTTTTTTTGTTTTCCCCAAAATGAGTCGTCTATGGAAAGCACAATTTCTTGGATATAATCTCCAGGGAAAACCTCAATTATTTACCGCCTCTTTTCTCTTCCCACCTTCTGAGAGTCAGGTGATCTCTCTCTCTCTCTCTTTCTCTCTCTCTGTGTCTCTGTCTCCCTTTCTTTCTCTCTCTCTCTCTGTGTTTCTCTTTCTTTTCTTTTCTTTCTTTCTTTCTTTCTTTCTTTCTTTCTTTCTTTCTTTCTTTCTTTCTCTCTCTCTCTCTCTCTCTCTCTGTCCCTTTCTTTCTCTGTCTCTTTATTTCTCTCTTCTCTCTTCTCTTTCTCTCTCTCTTTTTGAGACACAGTCTCACTCTGTTGCCCAGGCTGCAGTGCAGTGGTATGATAGGCTCACTGCAACCTCTGCTTCTTGGGTTCAAGTGATTCTCCTGCCTTAGCCTCCCAAGTAGCTGGGCTTATAGGCACGCACCATGACACCTGGCTAATTTTTGTATTTTTAGTGGAGATGGGGTTTCACCATGTTGGCCAGGCTGGTCTTGAACTCCTGACCTCAGGTGATCCACCTGCCTCAGCCTCCCAAAGTGCAAGGATTACATGCGTGAGCCACTGCGCCCAGCCCATTTCTTTTTTTAAAAATGTAAAATACACGGGTAGTCACTTCTGCATTATGTAGCCAAGGACAATGTTTAGTTAAGCAAGTCCACTTAACACCATTTCCTTGAGCACTTATTATTTGCCAGACACTGTGCCAAATACTCTACACACAATTTTTTCTGCTCATGACAATGGTATATGTTAGAGATTATTATCTCCATTTCATAAGGAAATGGAGGCTCACAGAAGTTAACTCACTTTCCCAAGAACCTGGGACTGGTAGACAGGAGAGATAGGATTCAGATCCAGATCTCTCTCCTGTGGTAGCGTGGTCTAACAACACAGACCCCAACAGTCTCTCCACACTTAGGCACTGAAAATTCACTTCATAAACTTCAGCAAGCCAGCAGTTTCTGCAGTGGAAACTTTTTCTTTGCTTGTTTGTTGTTGTAGTCATTTTAAGAACAAGATTATGGTGCAGACTCAGGGGACTGGGTGCTTAGGAAACAAGTCATTTTTCAGCAACCTGTCACCGTTTCAGCTGTTCCACTTTCCATGTGATACACATCTGCCAAATTGTGCTAACAAGAAAGTTACTGCACTTGGCGTAATGCGTTGGTAATTATCCTTGTAAACTTATACTCCAAACAATGTTTGTTCAGGACAACTGCTGATGTCTTACTAGATTTACCGAGTTCTCTTTTACCCTTTTTTGCCCGTGTATACACATGTATACACTGACCTCCTTCCTGTACAGCTCATGGGATTAGACTGACATCAGATTTGGGATCAACAGTAATGGGGAGCATTGACCACAGCCTGCACTTACACCAAAGGCTCGGTGTTGTCTCCCTCCCTGACTACCAGGTCACTCTGGTAGTCAGGCCTAGCACTCCTTAAGGGGTAAAAAGAGACAAAAAGCCAGTGGGTTTTTGGAGTGCTGGGTATGTTATGATTTTTTCCTCTTTGCATTGAATTTTATATGCCTTAGTAATAGTGTTTCTTGGCTATCCTGTTGCAGTATATTAGCCATAATATAGATTATCCGAGCTTTCTGTGACCTCCCCTGTCTGCTCTGAACATCTCATTACAACTTGGCTAAATCCCCAGAGGATGATGTGCAGCAGGAAAACTAAATATTTTCAAGCTAGCATACCTGTTTTCAGTTCTGATAAGAAATTGCTTTAAGAAGGGGTGAAAACAGTTGACTAAAATGAGTTTTTGTGATTAGCTGCGGATTTAGGTGACCTACAATGTCTCCAAGTGCCTGGTTTTATGTCTAATTTCCATTCTGGGGTCTTGGCCTGGATCAGGGGCAAGCCAGCTTCTGCCCTGGTTTCCCTGCCTTCCCTGTGTAGATCTGTGGTAGTCTCCGGCAGGGGCTGACTATAAGGTATGGTGTGTGGACTCATTTTCTCCCATGTAATCTCTCCTATGCATTGGTAATGCCAAGAGAAACACAAGGCCATGCCAGCCCTCTGTGTGACATCTAGGAGAGGATGTCCCCCATTCAACAGGCACATACTGAGTGTCCCCTCATGCCCCAACAGATGCCAGGCTAAGTGCTGAGGATTTGGTGACTAACACCGTAGTTGGTGCTCTTAAGGAGTTGACAGTCTGGGTGATGGAGGTGGATAGGAAGGACAGAGACAGACCCTGTCAGCCTAGCAACCAGCAACAAAGGCCTAGAAATGGACTCTTCACTGTGGCTGAGCCTTTCCCTGGCTTTTGAGGAATCCCTCAAAGGAAGAAGAATTGTCAGGGGAAGAGTCCTTTTATCTGGGAGGTCTCCGGTTAGGGACCTGACCCTGTTTGGGGGAGCTCTCTGGGGGTAATTTGATGGCAAAGAGACAGTTTCCATTTTCTAAATATGGGCTTTGCACTTTTCTGATTCTCTTCTCATAATGTCATTGCTGTCATCCTGTCATTGTAAGTCAGCCACATCTATTTCCTTTCTCTCTGCTAATGGTAGGGGGTCTAGACAATGTACTCCTACTCCAGACACTCTCCACCCCCAAGCCTAATATTTGGTCTCCTACCTCAGCACTTCACAGCACCTGTCTCTTTGAATTCATTTCTTTCTTCCCAGTCCTCCTCCCACTTTAGGTCCTTAAAACTCTAGCTGAGCGTCAGCTAAAGGGACTCTTGTGAGCATTTCCTTGGTCCAGTTCTCCTCTCTCCTTCTAGTTCTTCTGCTGGGCCAGATACCATCCTGATTAATGCTTTAGGTAACCTCTTCCTCAGGCCTGGAAACTCCCACATAGCAACTGGGCACACACTAGTGTTTCCTTCTATTGCCTTCTTGCCTGGGAGGAAGAGACAGTACTTACGTTCACTGCTGAACACTTGACTCCATTACCTTACCCACTTGCAGCCCAGCAGTATCTTTTGTGGCCTCACTTCAGCTTGTATTGTCACTTGCATTCAAATATGGGCTTTTCCCCGCCTCCTTCATGACCTTATTTAAAGATTTCTTGTTTCTTTGCATTTCACCTTTGCTGAGTATCCCTTTTTGCATTCTGTACCAACATACTGATTTTTCTAAAACAATGTGGGTCACAATTGCCAGGAGGCTGTAAAGATATTCTTAGGAGACTTCCAACACATAGTGGGCTCTTAGTAAATGTTTACTGACTTCTTAGTCTGAATCAGAGCAATTGAGAAGACCCTGACATTTTGGAAGGCGTCTTTGGTGCTTCAGTGCTATTGGCCACACTTTTTAAAAAGTAGGATATGGGTTCTGCTGTTGGACAGAGACCAAAAGTGGCATCAACAAAATTTTCTAAAAGTTTGGGGTTGGCCTGGCTACTCTGCAGTTGTCAGAGACCCAGGTTTCTCTGCTGTATTCAACACATGACTTTCATATTGGGATCCCATATGGCTTTTTTTTCCAGCCATGTGTTCTTATTCCAGAAAGTAGAAAGAAAAGGAAGGGGAAAGCTGGTCATACTCCTTACTTTTGAGAATAAGACTAGGAAGTTGTCTATCACTTTTGTTCACATCACATTGGCTGGAACTTGGTAACCTAGCCACACTGGGAAGGGAAGCTTGGAAATATAGAAATATAGTATTTATTCTGAGTGGTCATGTGCCTGAGTAGAAATACGGTAATATATGCAAGGAAAACTGATATGGGGGGATGACCAGTAGTGTCAGCCTCAACTTTCCTTCTTCTCCCCATAGTCTTATTCCGTCAGTTGATACTAGGAAACATTAGTCCTCCACAGCAGGAAGAGCTTGTTGGAGCTGTGTCCTTATATTTCTAGTTGAGAGACTTTGATTCAAATCTTAGATATGCTCTGTGGTTTGGGCTGTATCCTCTATTTTTGTGGATTAGAGGTAAGAGGCTCTCCTGACAATCTCACTTGGCCGAAGTGAAAACTAAATGAGATAATGATGTATAACAACTTTTTGGAAAAATTTGAAAATTTAACTTTCAGATGTCATGATTTTATTGTTGTTAATAACAGTGTTTGTTTCTTGCTCTTCCCAGTTAACTTTTTCTTTTCTGTAATTAGAAAAAAAAAAGAAAATAATAATTGCTACTCCCTTCTCGGGAGCATGAGAATGCTGTTTAATTTCATTTTTGGTTTATTTTTATTTTGGGAATGGGGCAGTGTTCAGAATTTTTTAGGAGAAAAAGCCTTTCATTTCCAATTTATCGTTAGAGTTCTTTTCTAGCCAGCAATCAGCTTGATTTTTTCTCTATAACCTGGTTTTTTAAAAAAGTTCTGCCTACTACTATGCGTTTCAGTTGGGTGCCCCCATTTTGGACACAACCTTAGACTACTTTCTGTCTTCCACATCACTTTCTCCCCTCCTCCAGAAAACTCTGGTTACTCCCATCCTGTTCATAACCCTCTGTCACTTCATGCCCTTAGGCTGATGGACCCTATTTTGGGTTTATTCACTTGGATTCACTTTATACTGCTCTGTGAACATTCTTGTGACGTCATGGCTATCTTTTTTGCCTGCTATTTGGTCCAGCTCTGGTAAAGCTCTAAGCTTCCTGAGGGTGGGACCTGTGGGTCATCTTGCTCTTTCTCTTCTCTTTTGTTCCTAGGCTGCTGTAATGTGGGAAAGAGCCTACATTTTGGAACCAGTCAGTTCTGGCTTTCAGGCCCACCTCTGCCCATGATTAATGCTTTGACCTTTGGCAGGTTCCTTAACTGAAAATGGAGGTACCATTTGGGGATGCAAAAACAAAGTGATGTGAAGTACAAAAGTACCTAGCCTAGTGCTTCCATGCAGAGTGTTTAAACAATGATAACTCTCTCCCTGCCCCTGTGTTTCCTCTCTTACAGCACATTAATAGGACTCAACAAACAATGATGTTTCTCAGCTATTTGTTAGTCCTTTGAGTATGCTCTACTTTAAGAGAATTGAACTTGCATAAAATATCAGGTACATTACAGTGTTTAAAGTATAGGTCATTAAATATAAGTATATCTGGATATGACGTTCCTTAGATACAAAGCTTTTTAGAAAAAAAAAGTTGGCCTGACTGCAGAGCAAGTTAAGGGAAGCCCTAAAGTAGGAAGTCATTTTGTGTGGTTGGGAAGTCCTCCCAGGCTTCACTGTTCAGGCTTGACTGGCAGGATCTTCACGGGACAGGACATGGTACCAGGAGCAGCAGGAGTGATCCCCTTGGTGAAAGGGAGAAAAGACTACAAATAGTCATGCCCTGAGTGCCCAAGACATGCCAGGTCATACTGGGAAGTTTTCACAACCCAATAACTCTTGTAAATAGGCTTTCTTATCCCTGTTTTGCAGATAAGAAAACTGAGTTCAGAGACATGAAATAACCTATTTAAGGTCACAGTTTGAGAGGTGGCTGGACTGGGTTTTGACTTCAGTTTCATCTGACAAAGTCATTCCCTTTGTCTTGTTGCTTTCCTTGTTGATTATTTTGGGATTTGGCAGGAGAAAATGTTCTTTGTGATGTGTGTTTGGTCGGGGGATGCAGAGTAAAGAATCAGGAAGGGAAAGAGGGCAGTGGAGAGATTGCAGGAGAGGGGTGGAAGATATCC